>NC_000007.14:149609894-149761410 GCF_000001405.40 Homo sapiens | reverse complement strand
AAATTTTTGATTGTGGTAAAACATAAATAACATGAAATTTACCCTTTTAACCATGTTTACATGTACAATTCAGTGGCTTAAGCACTCTCACAATGGTGCGTCACCATCACCACTGTCTATATCCAGGACTTTTTCATCATCCCAAACAGAAACTCTTCCCAATCTTTTTAATGGGTTGGCACATTTAGGTAAGGATAATATTAGGGTCACTGGGGAGTCCACTGGAGGCCTGTGGTGATGGCTGGGGCCGCCCCAGCCCCACACCTGGTGGTCCTGATAGCTGAGAGAATGACCTCCATATCCCTGGAACTCCCAACACGTTGGAGAGCTCTGTTCCATGTCACAGACCCGAATTCTTGTTTGTGAGGGAGATGGGACATATTCATTTGTCACAAGAATGACAATATCCAAGTTCCCTGGATTGTGATGGTTAATAGAAGAAACACCATGGAGGCCTTAACCCCACCAGGCATCAACCTAGCGATGCCTCAGTTGGGCCCATGGCTTAGCCTTTATCAGAGCCCTCAGTTCTCTGTACCCTACCTCCACCCCATCTCAAAAGTTTGAGCTTTTGAGCTCAAACTATCTCATTGCTATCTCATACCAGAATTTTCGGCAGCCGTTGACTCAGATAATCTTTACACACTTGTGTCCAGTTAACCCTTCATCTTCCTCTCAGTCCTTTCAGTGGGTTCCTATCTCCTCCCTCCACTGCTAATCTATCCCATTCTTAGAACCTCCAACTGATAGATACCTGAGACCTGAAGAATTTGTTTTTTTTTTTTGGTTTTTTGTTTTTTTTTTTGGAGACGGAATCTCACTCTGTCACCCAAACTAGAGTGGCGCGATCTCAGCTCACTGCCACTTCTGCCTCCCGGGTTCAAGCAATTCTCCTGCCGCAGCCTCCCGAATAGCTGGGATTGCAGGCACGCACCACCATGCCCAGCTAATTTTTGTATTTTTAGTAGAGACAAGGTTTCACCATGTTGGTCAGGCTGGCCTTGAACTCCTGACCTCATGATCCACCCGCCTTGGCCTCCCAAAATGCTGGGATTATAGGCATGAGCCACCGCGCCTGGCCAACCTGGGGAATCTTAAATGGAACCCAGTCCACAGCCATTCTGATGACGATCTTGCTGGAAGGAGGTGGAGAAAGACAAAGAACAGGGCTGCCCTCCCACAGGCGAGGTTAGGCACCCAAGAGGAGAGCAGAGCAGTGGTTAAAGAGGGCAGGGTTTCTCATCTGCTTAGGATTTCAAGCCTAACCCCAAGACTCAGCTCCTTAGAGCATGAGCACCAATTAACAAGTACCGAGTGCATCCAAGCGCTTAGTTCCCAAGTTGCTGCTGCCTTTTCAATTTGAGGAGCAGGGGAAATGGTCAGTAAACAGCCAGAGTGCCACATGGCCAGTGTATTGCTTTATATTGGAAGATTCTCAGGTGCCTGGACTGTTCCTCTTGTCCATGCTGGGGAAATGAAATTAATCATCAAGACTGGGTTTGGCAGGGTAGAGTCAGAGCATAGTGAAGGGAGGAGACTAAAGACATATATACTTCATTCGGGCTTTAGTGAATCTTGCCTATCACAGGACTGGTAAGACACAAGAATCTTTTGCGCAGCCTGGCCTCCTGTATCTTCTCCTTCTCCATCTGCAGGGTCGGACACCAAGAGCTGCTAGTAGAGTGCTCTGGTTATGTTCCCCAGGCTTGACTGCCTCAGGCATCCAGGGCGAGTCCAGCATTTTAATCCTCCATAAACATTGGCTGAGCTTTAAAATCTACCCAGCCTTGTGCAGACATGGTAGGAATAGAATGACAGCTCTCGCCCTCATGGAGTTGATAGTTCAGATGTAAGGCAAGTTTAATTAAGGATCACTCATGGCCCTGGGCGCTGGGTGCTTTGGGAGACTCCAGAGAAGTAAATATAAATATCATGCGTGGTTCCTGACCCACAAACCTAACCCTTAGCTGGGAGAGAAGGCTGGAGTTTCACGGCACGCCTAAAACTCAACCCAGGTATGGTATCCTATTCTTCAGGAGAGGGCATGGGCTGGAGCAGTCAGGGGGTTTCTGAGGGAGGAGGATCCTGGTTGAGTTTTGACTGGAGCTAGGACTGGAACAAAGAGGAGGCGGAGGAACAAAAGATCAATGCAAGACAACGCAAGACAAAAGTGCAAGTAAGTGCTCAACTATGCTGGCTGCAGGAAGTCAGCTATTTGCAATACTAAGTTAGAGGTGAGAAGGGGTCATCTTCCTTAATGTCAGTGCAGGGAAAATCCACCTCTGCGGTGTCCCCTACTCTAGTTCCTGTGCCATTGAGGCACTGGATGAATAGAACTCTTCCTTCTTCCATAGCCCTTCACAGAGCCACAGCTGCATGACATCTCCGCCAGTCAGTGCTCCAAAGAAAGGGGTAGGCAATAGGAAAAGTGTTTGCCATTATTACCACTAATAATAATGGTAGCCAATATTTGTCTAATACTTGCTGTATCAGGCTCTCCAACCTGAGTTCTTCACGCACACACACACACACACACACACACATATATATATACACATGTCATATATATTTCCACAGTCAATCTTCATGGTAATCATTATTATCCCCAAGTTTTTTTAGATGAGGAAACTGAGGCACAGAGCAATTAAGTCATTTGAACAAGGTCATTTATTCAGTCACATATTCAACAAACATGCACTGGGGCTGGGCGCGGTGGCTCACGCCCGTAATCCCAGCACTTTGGGAGGCCAAGGCGGGCAGATCACCTGAGGTCAGGAGTTCGAGACTAGCCTGGCCAACATGATGAAACCCCATCTCTACTAAAAATACACAAATTAGCGAGGCATGGTGGCAGGCGCCTGTAATCCCAGCTACTCGGGAGGCTGAGGCAGGAGAATCGCTTGAACCTGGGAGATAAAGGTTGCAGAGAGCCGAGATCACGCCATTGCACTCCAGCCTGGGTGACAAGAGCGAGACTTGGCCTCAAAAACAAAACAAAACAAACAAAACAAAACAAAAACCATGCACTGAGTACCTGCCGTGTGTCTGGCATTGTTGGACCCCGGGAATAATGATACTAATAAACTAGGCCGGGCGCGGTGGCTCACGCTGTAATCCCAGCACTTTGGGAGGCTGAGACGGGCGGATCAGTTGAGGTCAGGAGTTTGAGACCAGCCTGGCCAACATGGCGAAACTCTGTCTCTACTAAAAATACAAAAAAATTAGCTGAGCGTGGTGACACGTGCCTGTAATCCCAGCTACTCAGGTGGCTGAGGTATGAAAATCGCTTGAACCTGGGAAGCAAAGGTTGCAGTGAGCCAAGATTGCGCCACTGCACTCCAGCCTGGGCAACAGAGTGAGACTCTGCCTCAAATAATAATAATAAACCAAAATTTATCAACACCTACTTTCTGCTAGATACTATACAAATTAAGGGTTTACAAGTGTTGCTTTGTTTATTCTGACCACCTCCCTATTATGGGGCATCGTTGTCCCTGGTCCAATTATTCTTTTTTTTTTTTTTTTTTTTTTTTTTTTTGAGACAAGTCTTGCTCTGTTGCACAGGCTGGAGTGCAGTGGCACGATCTCGGCTCACTGAAACCTCTGCCTCCCGCACTCAAGGAATTGTTGTGCCTCAGCCTCCGGAGTAGCTGGGACTATAGGCACGTGCCACCATGTCCAGCTAATTTTTCTGTATTTTAGTAGAGACGGGGTTTCACCATGTTGGCCAGGCTGGTCTTGAACTCCTGGCCTCAAGCGGATCCGCCTGCCTCCCAAAGTGCTTGGATTACAGGCGTGAGCCACTGTGCCCGCCCCAGTCTGGTTATTCTGATGAGGTGAAGGAAACTCAGACAGTCTCCATGACCTGTGCACAGACATGAGGCCATACGTGACGCAAGAAAGCAACCTGGTGGTCTGACTCTAGAGCTTGTGCTTTTTAAAAAATTACATTATTTTAAATTGTGGCAAAATACACAGAACATAAAATGTAACATCTTTACCATTTTTAAGTTTGCAGTTTAGTGGCATAAAGAACATTCACGTTATGTGACCATCACCACCATCCATCTCCAGAACTCTTTTCAACTTGTGTCATGGTTAATTTTCTGTGTCAACTTGGCTAGACCATGGTGCCCAGATATGTGACCAAACATTATCTTTATATGTTTATATGAGGGTTTATGGATGATATTAACATTTAAATTGGTGGACTTGGAGTAAACAGATTATCCTCCATAATGTGGGTAGGCCTTACCCAATCAGTTGAACAGAACAGAAGACTGACCTCCCCCAAGGAAGAGGGAATTCAGCCAGCAGAAGCATCGGCTCTTCCCTAGGTCTCCAGCCAGCCAAAGCCACCCTATAGATTTTGGACTTGCCAGCCCCTGTAATCACATGAGCCCATTCCTTAAAACAAATCTCTTTCTACATGTATATACACACACCCCAAGGTTGTCTTTCTCTAGAGAATCCTGACTAATACACCTTGCAAAGCTGAAACTCTGTGCCTATTAAACCCTATTCTCCCCTCTCCAAATCCCTGGCAACCATCATTCTACTTTCTATCTCTATGAATCTGACTACTCTAGGGACCTCCTATAAGTGGAATAACATAGTGTTTGTCTTTTGTGACTGGCTTATTTCACTTAGCATGATGTTCTCAAGGTTCATCCATGCTGTAGCAGGTCTTAGAATTTCCTTCCTTCTTAAGGCTGAATATTCCATTGCATGTCTACACTACATTGTTTATCCAATCATCCACCAATGAACACTTGGTTGCCTCCACCTTATGGTATTGTGAATCATGCTGCTGTGAACAGGAGTGTACATATGTCTGTTTGAGTGCCTGTTTTCAGCTCTTTTGGGTATATACCCAGATATGGAATTGCTGGATCATATGGTCATTCTATTTTTAATTTCTTGAGGAGCTGACATACTGTCTTCCACAGCATCTGCACCATTTCACATTCTCACCAGCCATGCATGAGGCTTCCAATGACGCCACATCCTTGCCAACAATTGTTATTTTCTGGTTTTTGATACTGGCCATCCTCATGGCTTTGAGGCGACATCTCAGAGTGATTTTGGTTTGCATTTTCCTAGGACCTGTACTTTTAAACACCAAGCTCCACTGTCCCCTTGCAGAGAGGGGTCTTCAGGACACACATTCAAGGTCTTCAGGGCACTCACAGACTCGCGGTTGGACCTAGTGGGTTGGTAAGAGAAGTATGTGCAAAGGATCATGGAACAAGGAGCAAGGAGCAGGGACTCACACCTGGAGATCAGGAGGGCATCTCTGAGGAGGTGAATTAACTTGCCAAGACTGTAAGCAACTGGGGACCAGGCTTCCAGCCAGCCGGGAAACCTGTTACACACACACGTGGCATTAGCATGCATCTGTCTCCTGGGAGAGGACAGTGCTGGGTGGCAGAGACCTGGGAAGAAGCATGAAGCCATGGAAGTTGGGCCTGGCTATCTGTTGCAAAATGTTCCCTTTCTAGACGCGATCATGAATCATGGAGCTACAGCTATGGGAATCTTTGTTGAGGCGTGGATGTCAGCTGTGATTTAAAATAGGTAGGAATCGGCAGGCAGAATGAAGCTTCATTTTCATAGAAAACATATATTATGGCATCCTGAATCGAGGCACTGAGAAAGGGTGGCTGATGTCCAAGCAGGTGATGTACCAAGGAGACCAGGCAGTGCAGACAGGTACAGCTCTGAGAGAACACCAGGAAGGAAGGGGGAAAGGAAGGTAGCAAAGTCTCAGGATGTGTTTATGGGGCAGGCAGATAGCAACCTGGGAAGAGGGTCGAGGCCTCACAGACTCCCAAGACACTGGCCAGCCTGGGCCCAACTCCAAGCCACAGTCTCTGTGAATTGCCTGAAAATTGTCCTGCTGACATTGCTGCCCCCTGCACACAGGCAAGGGGGGAGCTGTGCCATGTGGCACTGCGTTCACCGAAGCTGCTGTGTTCGCTTCCTGAGGCCTCCTTTACAAAGTGCTACACACTGCATAGCTTCAAAACAGCAGAAATCTATTCCTTCACGGTCTGGAGGCTATGAGTGTGAAATCAGGTGTTACACTCCCTCTGAAGGCTCAAGGGAAGACTCTGTTCCAGGCCTTTCTCCTGGCCATTTCTTGACTTATAGACACAGCACTTCAATCTCTACCTCCATCCTCCCATCACCTTCTTCCTGGGTCTCCTCCACTCTGGGCATGTCTGTGTCCCTCCTCTTCCTATAAGGACAACAGTCATATTGGAGAACGGCCCACCCTAATGACCTCATCCTGATTTTATCCGCAAAGATCCTATTTTCAAGAGGCTATATTCATAGGTTGGGGCCAGGGCTAGGACTTCAACACAACTTTTTGGACTTCTTGGGGGGCGCAATTCAATTCATAACAGAGACCTTGAGTAAAATACTGTGTCAAAGTTGGGGGAGCTGAGGCTGAAATGAGGGCTCCTGGTATTGGGAGGGAATGGGGCAGTGCAGCTCTAATCAGAGCCCATGAGAGTGGACCTGTGGGTCCAGGCAGCTCTTACCCCAGGAGCTCTTGGATCCACCCTGTGCTATGTTTTGGAGATGTGTCATATCATTCAAAAAAGCCAAAAGAGGCTGGGCACTGTGGCTGACACCTGTAATCCCAGCACTTTGGGAGGCCGAGGTGGGAGAATCACTTGAGGCCAAGAGTTCAAGACCAGCCTGGGCAACATAGGGAGACTCCATTTCTAAAAAAAAAAAAAAATTTAATTACCCAGGCATGGTAGCAGGCCTGTAGTCCTAGTGACTCAAGAGGCTGAGGTAGGAGGATGCCTTGAGCCCAGGAGTTTGAGGTTACAGTAAACCAAGATTGTATCACTGCACTCCAGCCCGGGTGACAGAGCAAGAACTTGTCTGAAAAAAAAAAAAAAAAAGATAAAACATAAACAGTTTTGCTTTGTGTTACTTTATTCTTCGTGTGATTTTTAAATTTAAATTTTTCCTAGTCCTATAACAGTAAAATAGCTTTGATAGGACAGTAAACAGTTGACTTTTAGGAGACACTAAGAGCAACTGGGAACTCAGCCTTTTTCCATCAAACATGACTGTTTTGTTTGGTGTTTCTGTAAACTGTGTTTATGTGTCGGGGGTGGTGGTGTGCACACCAGGATTTACTTGTAGAGAGACATAGATGAAGGAAGGAGACAGCCTCCCGAGGAAGATGTTGCCTATGCTGGGGAGAGGGCTTGAAGGGGAGCCGGGGTGGGGGTTGGCGAGGTGGGTTGAGGGTGGGAGGGCTTCTGCTAGTATGTTCAGGGAGACAGATGGGCCGACTGAAGGCAGACAGGTTGGTGAGTGCGTTCACGGGACATGCTGGTTTCCAGTAGTGAAAGATTCTTTCTGCTCCTGGGACTCAAGAACCTGCTCGTAGTTGTTAACTCCAGGGTCCTGGGGAGGCCACCCATGCCCCACAGGGAAGAAAACTTCTTCACTCACTTACTGATCCTTGAAATGTCTTTTAACCAGAGACAAGTCTTGTATTTCACAGTCAGAGGGAGTATGCAAGACCCCCAGAAGAGGGCGCACGGCCACAATTCCACGCTGGTGGAAGGACTGGAATCCTGTCCTTCCCTGGGAACCCTCACCTGGGGAAGGATGAGTGAGTGTCACACTGAGGCCTCCCACAGTGGAGAAGCAGCAACGGAGAAGGAGGCCCCAGGAACCCTAAAGACAGAGACTTTAAGGTCGGGAGGGTTTCACAGAGGCTTTAGGAAACAGATTTATCCAACTGCCACAAAGGACTGAGCCTTCAGGCGTGGGATTAGGTCAGCCTTGGGGCAGGGGACATTCTTGGTCAATAGCAGGACTTTGATTTACGTAACGGGCTTATGCAATGTCATTACATAACATCATTAGGGGCATCGCAAATCGGATTCTATTTCAGGCTCTACAGGAGCCAGACCCAGGGCTCCCCTCCGGCCCAGCAAGACAGGATTCCCGTGGGCCCAGTGTCCCTGTCCTCGCTGGGATTTTCTCTCTTGAGATTTCACTGTGGGGCTTCCAGGAGAACTCCTAAGGCCTCAGGATCCTCTTTCTCCAGAATGATGGAGCTCGCGTCATAGCACGCTCATCCTTTGCAGATGCCTGCCCTGCTGCCCCTGCTGCCCCTGACCCTCCCAGTACTGTCCCCCCAAGCCCAGGCCAGTGGGCAACCTTCTCCTATCAGGTCCCCCTCTGACTTCTCCCCAACTCCTGCTTCCCCATCTATCCTCCAACTGTCAGGCTGATCTTCCTTATAACTTATTACGCCCCAGCTTAGAAACTTCTGCTCATCTGAATATCCAGAGGCCTTAGCGGTTGACACATTGTGCCACATTATTCTGTGTGTCCCTCTGGGGGTGGCAAGCTTCCCTGGCACAGAGCAGAGTGCCCACCTAGCCAGTGTGCAATACATGTCTGTTCTAACTCAAGGCTCTCTACAGTTGGCCCCAACAAACTTTTGAAACTTATTTTCCAAACCTCCTGGGTACACACCCTCCCTTACACCAAGCGGTCTTGTTCCTGTCTCCGGGCCGTGTGGTCCTTCCTGCCTCCTGCCCCGGCCTCCCTGGGCTTCCCCATCACAAAGTGCCTACTGCCCTGACTTCCCTTTTAAATCCTACCTATTTTTCGAGCACAGATGGGGGCCACCTCCTGGGGGTGTCCTTCCCCAATGATCCCAGCACACAACAATCTCCTCCTTTAAGCTGTCATGGTTCCTCTGCTTCCCACCTTACCAGATGTCGCCTGCAGTTGTTGGGTGTGTCCGCGTGTGCCTAAAATGTGTGAGTGCCTCCTGTGACTGAGGCTCCTACTTAATTCCCCTAAGCCCCCTTTGGTACGGGGTTGCTGTCCTCACTTCTCAGGTAAGGAAACCGGGGTTTAGAAAGGTTACACCCTTGTAGGAGCCTCATCTCTCCAGGCCCACTGGGAACATCTCGAGGGCGGAAGTCGTGTTTTTTTGTCTTGGTATTTCCAGGACCTGGCACATTTGAACACTCACAACACGTATGTTGAATTGTACAGGTGGAAGAGGAGCCTTTACAAGGCCTACCCATCTCAAAATCCCTCCCCTACCGGATAATCTGAGTGCCTAAAATCCACCCCTGCAGAGTTATAGCTGTGAACTAAGACAGGGTGACAGCAAACACAAATCCCAAAGTTAATAAATTCAGCGATCTATTTTTTCATGTGGCTGCTGAGATGGTTAAAGCTAAACTTACTGCTCAAATGCAATTATGTGAGTTAGATATCTGGTATGTTTCACATACTCTGCATGTCCCATTTAAAGCCTCACTGTAATATACCACCTTCGTTGGCCGTTACTGCAAAGTATATGTATTAGATGAGAAGAGAGCTACCTGAACTAAGAAGAGAGCTGAGAACCACACTCAGGAAAGCAGACAGAAAGGGGAAAGCAGGAATGTCAGTGTTGGAGAGGCCTGAGAATTTTCTAGGCTGTCGGTTCCTAACCTTTAGCAAACCACCAAGCATTTAGTTGTTTAAAGCTCCCTTCAGAGTAATGTGCATAGAAACAATGATTTGCACGTAATTTTAGAGGGTATGTGGACACCCTCTTTAAGCCCCTCTGTGGGCCCACATGGTCCGCAGAGCTGGTTTAAGAACCTCTGCTCTCATCCTGCATGACAGAACGGAGGCCTGGAGGAGAGAGGTTCTGCTGGGGCCTGAAGGGTGGGAGGGAGGGAAAGAGGAAATCCATGATTTTGCAGGGCAGGCCCTGCTGGCTAGTTTCCGGTTCTCCTTGTCATCTTGTGCCTGGGCTGCCCCTGGCACAGGAAGAGCCTGTGTGGCCAGAGGAACCTGCTTCCCCTCCACCCAGCTCTGCATGCCCCTCCCTGCTCAGCGGGCTGGGGAGGGTGGAGGTCCCAGGGTCCCACAACTAAGGTGGGCTCACATTCTGGGACCAGATCAGGACTCACAATTACCCCACAGGAGACTTCCACCCATCCCTCTCCCCAACCCAGATGGAAGCACACTTGCCTAGCTGGGCTGGAGGCAGATGACACACCTAGGGGGCCTGCCGGGGGCCTGGGTTGGGAACAGAAGCCCCAGCTCTGCACTCTGAGAGCTGTCCCTGAGTTATCCCCCACCCCTACCCCTGTGCAAAGGATGCTAATGAGAAGCTTTTCATTTCGCAGCTGCAGCAGCACAGCGTGCACACACTTGTCTCATTTTGCTGTTTCAGGAAAGAAAGCAGAGCTTGCTCACCCCTCGCCCCCACTTCTATTCCCAGTGAAGGTCACGGCTTCTCCTCAGCCCTGATTGGCAGCAGCCTTCTGAGGGCCAATGCTGGTGACCAGCAGTCAGGCTTCAGAGAGGGGCCTTCTGAGCTTTCCACAGCTCTGTGAGGAGATGTCCGAAGGGAAACATTGCAGAGTGGGACAAGGGGAGAGTCCAGAGATAAGAATTATCTATGTTGTTTTGTTTTTTTTTTTTTTGAGACAGAGTCTCACTCTGTCGCCCAAGCTGGAGCACAGTGGCACGATCTTGGCTCACTGCAGCCTCTGCCTCTTGGATTCAAGTGATTCTCCTGCCTCAGCCTCCTGGGTAGCTGGGATTACAGGCACCTGCCACCACGCTTGGCTAATTTTTTTTTTCTGTATTTTTAGTAGAGACAGGATTTTACCATGTTGGTCAGGCTGGTCTCAACCTCTTGACCTCAAGTGATCTGTCTGCCTTGGCCTCCCAAAGTGCTCAGATTACAGGCCTGAGCCACTGTGCCCAGCTGAGAATTATCTATTTTAAACCAAGTAGGTATTTAGGCACTTGAGAATACCCAGGGGAAAAATCTCACATCGCTGCCCGGATCTGCCTTTTGCAAATATTGCTTGTAAATTAAATGAGCTGGACTTGGGAAGTGGCAAGAAACAACTTTATTTTCTTCTTTCATCGTCGCATTCAAACCCATTCTGTTGTATCTGCCTTCTTCGCTATATCACTTTTTTATTGTGTGTAACAAATCACTCCGAAATTGAGCCACTTAAAACAACCTTTTATTTGCTTACAGTTCTGTGGGTTAGCAGTTTGGACTGGGTTCAGCAGAGTGGTTTTTGGCTGGTCTCACCTGGGTTCCTCCTTGCAGGTACAGTTACCTTGTGGCTCTTGTGGCCCAACTGGATCTGGGTGGTCCAAAATGGTCCTATTCTCATATCCAGTGGTTGGTGCTAGCTATTGGCTAGGCCTCTCTCTCCTCCTCCAGGAGGCTGACCCGGGCCTCCGACATGCCAGCTCTGTATTCCAAGGGGGCTGGTGCAGAATCTGTAAGGGCTTCCTGAAGCCATGGCTGCAGCACTCACACAGTGTCACTTCAGCCATATTCTCTTGATCAAATCAAGTTACAAAGCCCCCCAAGGTTTAAGAGGTGGGAAAACCGTCTTTGGTGGGAACAGCAGCCAAGACCCATGGCACGGTAGTGAGTGTACAGGGGCAGGAGAAGTTCTGGTCACACCCACTCCTGGACCATATGTTTGGTGGATCCTAATATATCTTGGAAGTTAGAATAGTCTCATTTTCAGTTACTAAAAAGTCTAGCACCATCTAACCCACAACTTCTATATCTCATCCACTCTGAAGCATCTCTCCAATCTCACTGGGGACTGCTGTGATGGGAAAAGGGGCCCAGGTCTCAGTGATCTCCATCTTGTTCTTTCACTGCTCTTCCTCACACCCTGGGCCCCAGTTGGCTCCCCCAGGGGGATGACAGGAAGGAGGGGAAGGAGAATGCCTCCCATCTGACCAGTGTTGTTGTCACCCAACCCAGGTGTCCTCTGTGTGGCAGGATGCTGCTGGAATAGTGACTTTGTCTCTCATGAGGTCCTTTGCTGAGTTCTTCTAGGTCACTTGCTCCCTGTATGGGGCTCCTCATTAGGGACTCCCTAATGAGGGCAATGCACCCTCTAAATGACCACGCTTCAGCTTCTGCTCTGCTGTGTACCCCACACAACTGCTTTCTTCCAGGGTTACTCACCAGATGCGCTATTTTCTCCCCTGCTTCTCTGTGCATTCCTTCCTTCCTTCTCTGTGGACCAGCTTTCCTGCTTCTTCACTCATAGAGCACAGCAAAGGTGGCCTCTCCATAGCTTCCACATTGACCAGTTACTGGTGTAGTCATTCAAACAATTGACTAACTTTCTCAATTCCAGACTCCTGGAAGAAAGAATCTAGCTAAGCTAAGGTCAAGTTGATCCCAGGGTTGTTCAGCTATGATCGTTGTCCTATGGATGTCATGTCCTACCCGTTTATGGAAGAAATGGGAGTTCCCAGGGAAATGCTGGCCCCCAGGCTGGACAGTCAGGCCCAAGTATCTACTGCAGTGGGCACAATAGCTAGAGCCAGTCCTATGTCAGCAACTGTTATATTGACAGTTCAAGAGGACCATCAGATTTATTAACTATAAACTCATGGGCGGTCACTTAGAAAGCTGCTTCAGTAGAATGATGGTGGCAAAAGTTCGACTGCAAATGTCTGAAGGGTGAATTGGAGTGAGGAAATGGAGACAAGATGTGTAGACCATTTGGAACAGATATCTAATTGTATGTAGTCAGTGCTGCTGTTTTTCTAAAAAACAGTGAGATGGAGCTGCTTGGTGAGATGGAGCTGCTGTATTTCTGCATGGTCCTGGCCCTGGCACCAGGTGATTGGTCCAGGAGAGGGAACCCAGCCCAAGCTGGGCCAGTTGGCCTTCCCCAGGATTTTGAACTTTGGACCAGTGACCGTGTGAGTCAGACCCTCCTGGGTAACAAAAGCTGTAGGAAGTAACACATGGAAGCTTCCATAGGCCATATTTCTTATCATGTGAATGAGATTGGTTTTCAGTGAGGGAGAATGGAGCTGACCGCAGAGTAAAGTAGGAATGAGGTGCGAAGAAGGTCTTTGTATCAGATGAGCCTCAGATTCTTGGCATTCCTTAGGCCAAACCGTATCCCTTGTTTCTGTGGCAACCATGGAGATGCACCCTTGGATTTCCCTTCCAAACCCAATGCTGCTCCTCTGTGAAGAGGATGGTGAGCTGACAGCTGGCTGCTGTCAGTGTACCCAGGGTCCACCCCAGCTTGTGAGCCAAGGCCATGCTCCTCCCAGGAAGTCCCCAGCCAGTGACCATGCCGGGCTATTTCTACCCAAAGTGGAAGTCGTCTAATAAGCCGGTGAATAAGCTCTCTGGGCCAGAGCTCTCTGTCAGGGTGTCTGAGACTTTGTGCATCAGGGTCTGAGGCTCCAGCTGCACAATCCTGTTCCCCCCGCCCCCAGCTCTCTTTGCAGAGGGGTCGGATGCTCATCATGCCTGAGACTGCTTTCTCCCTTTTTCACCTCTGATGGGAGCTATACTTCCCAATAAATCTCTTATCCCTGTAATTCTGCCTGCTTCTTGAAGCAATCATTCCCATGACTTCATTGAGCCAGTATATTTCTTTTCTTTCTTTTTTTTTTTTTTTTTTTTTTTTTGAGACAAGGTCTTTCTCTGTTACCCAGGCTGGAGCGCAGTTACATGATCTTGGCTCACTGCAACCTCTGCCTCCTGGGTTCAAATGATTCTCGTGCCTCAGCCTCCCAAGTAGCTGGGACTACAGGTGCACCACCACTACAGCACCACCACACCCGGCTATTTTTTGTATTTTCAGTAGAGATGGAATTTCACCATGTTGGCCAGGCTGGTCTTGAACTCCTGACCTGAAGTGATCCACCTGCCTCGGCCTCCCAAAGTGCTGGGATTACAGGTGCGAGCTACCATGCCCGGCCTATTTCTCCTTTTGTCTTGGCTAGTTGAGTTGAGCTTCTGTGATGGGTAATTTTATGTGTCAACTTCACTGGGCCAAGGGATGTCCAGATAGTTGGTAAAAGACCACTTCTGGGTGTGTGTGAGGGTGTTACTGAGAGAGACTGGCATTTCAATCAGTCAACTGAAAGAAAATCTGCCCTCACCAAAGTGAGTGGGTGCCATCCGATCCATTGAGGGCCCTGCTAGAACAAAAAGGCAGAGGAAAAGTGAATTTGCTCTCTGTTCTAGAGTTGGGACGTCATCGTTTGCTCTCGGACATCAGAGCTTCTGTTCTCAGGCTCAGATTCTGGGGTTTACACTAATGTTGGTTGCTCCCCTCCCCTTACTGTTCTCAGGGCTTTGACCTCAGACTGTTCTCAGGGCTTTGACCTGATCCTGGTCGGGTGCAGGGCTCCTGAGAGGCAGCAGTGCTGACCCTTGAAAGTTTCCAACTGGAATCAAGGTTATTAATCACCCCCACCCCCACCCAACACCCAGATAATGGCTGTCCCCAAAGATGGCAATAGTCTGAACAATGTCTCGTTCTTGACCACTAAAGGAAAAGACAGTAGCAACAGGCGGTCCTAGAAGTTTATTCTCCAAACTCGCTCTCCAGAACTCATCCTCCAAACCACTGGAGCCCATTCCAGGCAGACACAAGGCAGCTGTGCTTCACTCTTGACTTGGAAAGATGAGTTCTGATGGGTTGGGCTCCAGCAGCAGCAGCAAGCAATGGAGACAGAGAACCACCCTGGGATCAGAGCCCGCTAATAATGAGGTGCCCCAGCCTAACTGGATATGATTCAATTTGCCTTCAACATGGATGGGAACACGTGACTGGAAGACATCTATACAAGGATGGAGAAACATTTCCCCTAATTGAAGCTCATTCTACATCAGGCTGGAAGTATTCCATCTGCCAAGCCTCCTCCCTAATATGTTTTTAGCGAAATATCCACCAATGGCAAGGTCTTCTTCTGGGCCATCTGCTTCAATGCCAGTGGCTACTTGGGGGGTGCCCCAGGTATTTAAATAGCAGGGATGACCCACTGCAGAACTTGTCAGGAATCTGTGCATCCAACCTGGACTCCCTGATGCCCACTCACACCTTGGCCCACTTAATTCCCTGTGAACAGGCCTTGGTGTTGCAGCCCTCAGTGAAGATCCAACTTTCCCTGGGGGCTACACCCATAAACTAATGAGCTCAGATTCAGTCATCCCTGCCAGAGAGTTCACAAGCCCCCAGGTGATCCTAGCTGAGGAAGGAGAAACCCCTTTTCCTGCTTCGGGACTGGACAAAAGCAGAAACCTCTCTTAGAGGAATCCAGCCAGGGGAGGCAGTGCCTCTCCTAGAGGCCATCAAATTGGAGTGCCCACCTTGCAAAGATGCATCTTCCCATCCCAGATCTCCAAGAGGAGTCAGTCCAGTCCTAGAGGGACTTGTCCCAGCCTCTCATTTCAAGGACAAAGACCTCCTATACTGGGTTTACATCCCCAACCCAGGAGTCTTTGAAATACTGATGGTTAGCAGAGGGAGAGACGGAGGAAATTCAGGTCTGGTAGAAACAGATCTTGTTTTCTCCTGGCCTGAAAGAGCCCAACCTGCAATTCTCAGGGCCTCAGCACCTCCAGACAAGGTTTTGGAGCCCACCTCCAAGCTTGGCTTCTCCCAGCAGGAGGAAGAACCCTTTTAGACATCCATTGAGGAGGTGTCCAAGAAGCTGCTCAATTCCTCCATCCCAAGCAAAGCCATCTTCTCCATGATCCTGGACTCCTGGGGCTCATACTCCAGCCCAATCATGAGGATTTCAGCCCAGTATGAGCCCCCAGAGTGCCTATGGCCTCCTGCCAAACTTCCCAGGCTGACAGATCTCAGCACTACTCCACCGAAGTGGCCTCTCTTTGACTAGATCCACCAGCCCCTCAACAGAGAGCCCTTAACCTTGCCTCTGACCCCTTCAGCCAAAGCTGAGACTAGAGTGAGGAAAGCAAGGTGCCAGGGCACAACATTTAAGGAGATGCTCTTTCCTGGGGCTGTGTTAGTGACTTGGCAACTGTTCCCATTATTTCTAGAAATCTAAAGCCAAGCTCTCCTGAGCTACAGGTTTCTGGCCTTGAGCTAGCCCCTAACAGAAGGTCTGGCTCTGGATCTGATCAATAAGAGTGTCACCAAGACCCTGCTGGAAGGCTGTTCCCCTGCCTGGCGGACCAACCATGGCTCCAGCAGCTGTCCCCACCCAGCCCGGCCCTTCCCTTGCTGCTCACGATGCTCGATATTTGGAGCACTTGGGTGGCTATGCAGTCCTAGGAGCAGTGCAGCCCCTGCATCCTCTGGGAGAACAGCAGCCAGGGCTGTTCGACTCCTTGTGGCAGTCGAACTCCTTGTGGTGTCACCTTTCCTGCCTGTGCCAAGACAGGAAGTCACCCTGAATTGCCACTGGGCCTTGGCAAGCAGCAAGACCCGGCCCTAGGTCTTTGCCCCGCCTTGAGCACCCCAAGAGGCTCTGATTCCTCTGTGCTCCCTGCCAGGAATGAAGGGATAGAAACCACAGAACAAGGCTAAGAGGGCAGAGGGACCAGCAGTCTCTCCTCTACTTTGTTGACTGACCCAGGGCCCATGTAAATAGTGGACATTCTCCAAATTATCCTTTCATGTAAACTTACTTTCCTTTCTTAGATCCTTGTCTCAGGACTGCCACGAGGTGGATGGGGTGACAAGGGGTTTTGGTTACTTCTGCACCTTGCTTTTATTTTTAATTTTTTTTTGTAGAGATGGGGGCTTGCTATGTTGCCCAGGTTGGTCTCGAACTTCTGTCCTCAAGCAATGCTCCTGCCTCAGCCTCCCAAAGTGCTAGGATTACAGGCTTGAGTCACCAGGCCCAGCTGGCACCTTGCTTTCAGATCCTGGAGGAGAGAAGGGCTGCAGGCATGGTTTCTTCCAGGTGAGGGACCCAGCTCCTGGTGTCTTCACTACAGGTGCCCAGACAGGGAGATCTGCAGGTTGGGCCGTGTCCCTCTTACTTTCTCCCCACCCGTTCATGTTTCCATGTCAGCTTTCCTGCCTGAAGAAATTCTGGTCACATGTCTCTCAGAAATGGGTCGACAGTTGAATTCGGGTGGGAAGTAGGAGATGGGCCAAGAGTGTGAGTTCTCTGGTGCACCCCATTAGATGTTTCTCTCATCGAGTCCCTCACTCATGCCAGGGAGATGAGCAGCAATAGAGAAGGCCCAGATCTGGCTCTCAGCTGACCACGTGCACACAAGCCAGCCTAGGAAGCTACTGTAAATCTCTGCCAATAAAATCCAGGGTGCAATGCTGGGAAAGAGTGGGGTGTCAGAAGTTTTTATGGGAAAAAGTTATTGGGTCAATGATATATGTTTTTACTGCCTAGACTCTGGGTCTGCATTTATTCTTATACAAAGTTGCAACATGCACCAACTCAGACATTGTAAGACTGTAAGAGATTCTGAGGAAAACAAGTACATATTATAGCTAGAGAGACCAGCAGGATGCTCAGGGGCGACTTGTCTACCATCCCTCCCCCTCACCATGTTGAGTAGTTGACTGACTGATCTAAGCTTCAATTTCCTCCTCTGCAAAATCAAGATAAAATTATACTTCCTTTGGTTGGTGCTAGAATAAAGTGAAATAATGCATAATAATGAAATAATATGGCATAGTGCCTGGCACATTCTGGATGTAAATATTAGCTAAAGTCAGTTGAAAAACACTAAACCTTAATTTATAAAAGTGGTCAAGGGCAGGACTGTTCTCAAATCTTTCCAACACAGGTCCTTATTAAATGTCATTCTTGTGATTAGCATATAATAAATTCTCAGTAAGTGTTAGTTGCTGTTGCTGTAGTTAGTAAACAGAACAGCTCAGGCAATGTTGGGTCAAGTTAGGGACTCGCCACTGCCAGGGAGAAGTAAGGGATCTGGCACGAAGTCAAGCCAATGTCAAGGAAACATTCCTGGAAAATACATGGTTTGCTTTAAGAGTCTAAATGAGAATGTGGTCTCTCTCTCCAAATATTTGCACACATTGGCACAAAACTTCAACATTTTACAATTATGCTTTCAATGGTCTTATTTGAGCCACACATTCAAACGATATTTTCTTTCTTTTTTTTCTTTTCTTTTTTTTTTTTGTGACGGAGTTTCGCTCTTGTTGCCCAGGCTGGAGTGCAATGGCGCGATCTCGGCTCACTGCAACCTCCACCTCCCGGGTTTAAGTGATTCTCCTGCTTCAGCCTCCCAAGTAGCTGGGATTACAGGCATGTGCCGCCACGCCCACCTAATTTTTGTATTTTTAGTAGAGACGGGGTTTCACCAAGTTGACCAGGCTGGTCTTGAACTCCTGACCTCAAGTGATCTGCCCGCTTTGTCTTCCCAAAGTGCTGTGATTACAGGATGAGCCACCGCGCCTGGCCACAATATTTTCAAGGTACAAATTCATCTTGGCCAGGCATGATGGCTCACACCTGTAATCCCAGCACTTTGGGAGGCCAGCGTGGAAGGATCACTTGAGCCCAGAAGTTTGAGACAGACCTGAGCAACATAGCAAGACCCTGTCTCTTTAAAAAAAAAAAAAAAAAAAAAAAAACCCGGCTGTGCGTGGTGGTGCACACCTGTAGTCCCACCTACTTGGGAGGCTGAGGTGGGAGGATTGCTTGAACCCAGGAGTTCCAGGCTGCAGTGAGGTATGACCATGTCACTGCACTCCAGCGTGGGTGACAGAGTGAGACCCTGTCTCAAAAAAAAAAAATCTCACATCAGACCTGACAGGTATATGAAATCCTAAATTGGGACGTGATGTTAAAGTTCATCTGGCTCTCATCATTCACTCCCTCCAAGTAGGAGTCCCTTCCACAGCCCCACAGGTGATGTCCTCATCTGAACCCAGCACCGCTGCTCGTGGCTGCCTCTCTGGAAGCCTGTGCCAGGATTAGGCACACACCTGATTCTCTCGGCAGTGGGGAACCTCCGAAGGAGGCTGCCCTTCCCCCACCTTCCAGCATGGTGACTGCAGAACCAAGCTCTGCTGTAGAAAGAGAGCTGGTAGCAAGGCGTCTCTTCACCCTCTGTCCAGTAATACACACAAGGTGGCTTCATATACAAGGCAGCGTGGGATCTCTGAGGAAGCCCTTAAGGTAATGTTCGGGAGTAGGAAGGTGGGCTTCACGACTTCTGTTTTCCCTTCAGCCCCCTACGGGGACCAGTTGCAGCCCTGAATTGTCATTGCCTCTCTTTCCCAGCAGATGGCGCCGAGGCGCTGGAACGGAAGCCCCTTTCCTTGACCAGCTCTCCCCTCCGAAATAGGGATTCCAGAAACGCAGGTTCCTGCCTCTCTGCCCGAGGTCTGGCAGAGCAGGTGGTCTCAGTGTGGTTTGATGGAGGAGCAAAGGCATTCCAGATTCAGAACAGCTTCCTGTTCTGCTCACAGCAGCCTCAAAGTCGATTGAAAGTTTCTGGCAAAATACAAATTATTTCCTGGGAGGAGGTAAGAGAATGGATTAATTTACTTAGTTTCCTAGTTGAGAATTTCCCAAGGTACTGGGACTCAGAGCAGATGTGTCATTATTGGTGGGGAGGGGAGGTAAAGGAAAGTCTGGCTCGATTATTCTCAGCTGCGACCCGGGACTGTGGCGGGGCTTGCACACACTCACAGCTCCTTCTGGAGACCTCCGCCCGCTTATCTTTGGGGGCCTGTGGTCCCTGCCTGGCCCACTGTTCTGGCGAACTGCGGCCGCCTAATGCAGTGCCACCAGCCTGCTGAGACGTACAGTGGCTGCTCCCGGGCTCCTGGCACTCTGAAATCTGGCATGCAATAAACGCATGCTGCCTGTGGAAGGCAGACAGATGCAGAAGTTCTCTGTGGTTAGCAGGGGGAATGGCTGGGAGGCAGCAGTGGTAAACTCTGATTGTTCTACAGTTTTGCCAACAAGAATGGTTCTCAATACGGGCTGCATGGCAGAATCTCCAGCAATTTATAAATATACCAATTGAATGTGTACGTTTTTGTATATTGTATTTTAATAAAAAGTTTATACACGCATACATATGGCTAGATAGATGATAGATGCCAACTCCATCTATCAATCATCTCATTCTCCATGAATGAGAATCTGTACAGGTGGGGCCTAAACCTGATTTTTTAAATCTCTCTCAAGTGACCCCAGTTTGCACTCAGGGAAGAGAACTGTTGCTCTATGAACTTCTCCATCATCTTAAAGATCCATGTCCAGATTACCACCAAGCCAGAATCATTTTTAAAAATTTTAAATGGAGGGGATGAAGGAGTGTCTGAGGACATGCAGGGTCAACAGAGATGCCCTAGGGCAATGCCCTGTCTTCTGTAACAAAGTGTGACTGGCCTGTTAACACGGGAAACTGAAGCATGGTGCTGAGCCTGAGGTGTTGATGGTACCAGCTCATGGTTTCTACTAGAATCCAAGGGTCCAATAATAAACACTTGGAAAATTTCGATGCATTTATTCCAACGCCTTCACTGCCTTTTTTTTCTTTTTTTTTTTTTTGAGACAGAGTCACACTCTGTCGCCTGGGCTGGAGTGCAGTGGCACAATCACAGCTTGCTGCAACCTCCACCTCCTAGGTTCAAGCGATTCTCCTGCCTCAATCTCCCAAGTAGCTGGGATTACAGATGCACACCACCATGCCCAGCTAATTTTTTGTATTTTTAGTAGAGATGGGGTTTCACCATGTTGGCCAGGCTGCTCTCGATCCTGGCCTCAAGTGATCCACCCACCTCAGCCTTCCAAAGTGCTGAGATTACAGGTGTGACCCACCGCGCCCAGCCCACTCTCTGTCTTAAACCCAAAAAAGAGTGTTATTCAGAGATTCAATCCAGGTTTATTGAACCCCCACTATGTAGCTGATCCAGTGTTGATGCCAGATATACCATATGTATTTGCCTCATCCACAGAGCTTACAGTTGGGGGCTGGTGGGTGTGGGGGGCAGACATTCAACAAAGTAACACACAAATAGATGCTGCAGATTACTAATTTTTATAACAATCTATTTCTTCCTCCCTGATTTGCCTCAGACACTGACGAATCTAATGTGAAGGTCCAGAGTTCAGTGTGCCTCTCGCCCTGCATGTTTTGGGGCCTTCCTTAGCTCTGAAGCCAGAGAATCCCAGCTCAAACTCACCTAGCAACTGTGTAGCTTTGAGCAAGTTTCTTAATTTCTGTGCTTCAAGGAAATCACAAAAAGTGCTCAATAGTTCTCTCCACATAAATCTTTTTTAGATTGATTCCTGGGCTCTTGAGTTTTTTGTTACTACAAATAAAATCTTTAAAGTAATACTTTCTAACTGTTGGCTGTGGGTATATGTAAATATAACTTAGTTTTGGTATACTGGTTTTTAACACTTCAATATGTCACCATTAAGCATATTAGCTATTGATATGGTTTGGCTGTGTCCCCACCCAAATCTCATCTTGAATTGTAGCTCCCATAATCCCCACATTATGGAAGGGACTCAGTTGGAGGTAACTGAATCATGGGGGTGGGTTTTTCCCTTGCTTTTCTCATGATAGTGAATAAGTCTCATGAGATCTGATGGTTTTACAGAGGGCAGTTCCCCTACAGTCTCTTGCCTGCCACCATGTAAGACATGCCTTTGTTCCTTCTTCACCTTCCGCCATGATTGTGAGGCCTCCTCAGCCACGTGGAACTGTGAGTCCATTAAACCTCTTTTCTTTATAAATTACTCAGTCTTGGGTCTGTCTTTATTAGCACCATGAAAATAGGCTAATACAGCTATCATCTTTTTTTTGGTATATAATCCTCATCAAATTAAGAAATTTCCTTTCTCATCCCAGTTCACTTGGAATATTGATGGGTGCTGGCTCTTATCAAGTGATCTTTCTGCAGCTATTGAGATGATCATGTGACTTTTCCCCTTTAATCTATTATTGTGGGTTACCACTGGTGATTTTCAAACGTTGAAACCATTCTTGATCGACAAGATGAAGCCAACTGGGTAATGATGTTTTACTCAGTAAAACATTTTGTGTATTGCTAGATTCTCTTTGGCTAATATTTTGTTGAGTATTTTTCCTATGTACATTTTTTGAGATTAGCCTGTAATTTTGTTCTCTTGTACTGTCCTCAAGTTTTGGAAATTTCAAGATTATGCCAGTCTCGTAAAACGAGTCAGAGAGTGTCCCATATTTTTCCATTCTCTGGAATAGTTTGTATATTATTGAAATAATTTCCTTTTTAAATGTGAGATAGAACTTACTAGTGAGGCCTTTTGGGCCTACAGTTTCTTTTCTTTTTTCTTTTTTAGATGGAGTTTTCTCTTGTTGCCCAGGCTGGAGTGCAGGGACGTGATCTTGGCTCACTGCAACCTCCACCTCCCGGGTTCAAGTGGTTATCCTGCCTCAGCCTCCCAGGTAGCTGGGATTACAGGCGTACGCCACCACACCTGGCTAATTTTTTGTATTTTTTAGTAGAGACAGGGTTTCATCATGTTGCCCAGGACGGTCTTGAACTTCTGACCTCAGGCCATCTGCCTGCCTTGGCCTCCCAAAGTGCTGGGATTACAGGCCTGAGCCACAGTACCTGGCCCTACAGTTTCTTTTGTAAGATGTTTGATCACTAATGCATTTTTTTTTCAATGGTATGGGACTATTCAGGTTTTGTTTTGTTTTGTTTTTGAGTCTAAGTTGCATTCTTATGGGAGTTATTTTCATTGAATTTTCAAACTTTTGGCAAAAAGTTGCTTATAATATCATCTTATTGTCTTTCTATAGCCTGCGGCATCTGCAGTAATGTCACCTTTTTCATTCTGAGACTGGTTATTTGTGCTTTCTTTTTTCATTGATGATTTCATCACAGGCTAGTAGTCAATGTTATTAGCTTTGTAAAGAAATGATTTTTGGCTTTGTTGATTATATCATTTATATGTATGCTATTTCAGTAATTTCTGCTCTTATATTTGTGTGCCCTTTTTAACTTTTCTTTGGATTTCCTTTGCTGTTCTGTTTCTCCTTGTGAATTCTGTCCTTCCTTTTCCACATACTCACTTATGTCTATACATTTCTAAGTACTGATATTGCTTTATGCTACACATTTTGATATGGTTCCTTTCCTTTCCTCTCCTCTCCTTCCTTCCTTGTTTTCTTTTTTTTGAGACGGGGTTTCACTCTGTCACCCAGGCTGGAGTGCAGTGGCACGATCTCGGCTCACTGCAACCTCCACCTCCTAGGCTCAAGTGATTCTCCCACCTCAGCCTCCTGTGTAGCTGTGACTAAAGGCACATGCCACCACACCTGGCTAATTTTTGTCTGTGTGTGTGTGTGTGTGTGTGTTTGTGTGTATGTGTATGTATGTGTATATATATATATATATATATATATATATATATTTTTTTTTTTTTTTTTTTTAAGTAGAGATGGGGTTTTACCATGTTGCCCGGGCTAGTCTCGAACTCCTGGACTCAAGTGATCTGCCTGCCTCAGCCTCCCAAAGTTTTGGGACAACAGCCGTGAGCCACCACACCTGGCCTGTGGTACTTCCTTCATGGTGGGAAACATTTTTAATTTCCATTATGATTTCTTCATTGACACATGGGTTATTTTAGCAGCATAATTCTCATTTTTGAATATATAAGAATTTCTGGTTATTATTTAATTCTAGCTTAAAAGGTAAAAGTATTGTCAGAGAACATACCCTATATAATTTCAATATTTTAAATTTATTTACACTTACTGTAGGGCTTAATATATGGTCAATTTTTGTAAATGTCCTGTGTATGCTTGAAGAGAATGTATATTAAGCAGTCCCATGGCACACAGTTTTTGTTTGCTTGTTTGAGATGGAGTTTCACTCTTTACACAGGCTGCAGTGCAGTTGCATGATCTCAGCTCACTGCAACCTCTGCCTCCCGGGTTCAAGCGATTCTCGTGTCTCAGCCTCCCAAGTAGCTGGGATTACAGGTGCATGCTACCATGCCCAGCTAATTTTTGTATTTTTTGTAGAGACAGAGTTTCACTGTGTTGGCCAGGCTGGTCTGGAACTCCTGGCCTCAAGTGATCCATCCGCCTCGGCCTCCCAAAGTGCTGGGATTACATGTGTGAGCCACCGCACCCGGCCCCATGGTGTACTGTCCTATACGGGCCTCAATCAGGCCAATTTTGTTAAGGAGTTTGTTCGAATCTTCTACATCCCTCCCAATTTGTTCCATCATTTTCAGAGAAAGATATGCTAAAACCTCCCAAATATGATTGTGAATTTGGGTGTTTCTCCTTTTAGTTCTTTACATTTTGAGGCCAGCAGAGGAAAAAATGGATTTTTTTTTTAACCCACAACAGTGTTAATACAAAATAAGGCAGGGAAGAGAAGCCCCCTCGGAAGAGGTGGGACAAACAAAAAGCACAAAGTAAGAAAGTCTGTTAAAGCCTCAATAAATCAGTCAGTCAATTACATTTAAATGGATTAAGGGCTCCCAGTTGACGAGCAAAATCTGTCAAGATGGTTTATGAGATAAAATCCATAGGTTGTGCATAGGAGCCACATCCAAAACACAAACCCGCACAAAGGTTAACAGCATGCCTGCTGCTCTTGACCAAGCACCTTCAGCGGGGAGCAGTGAATCGTGGTTCTTGCACCCCGCAGGCCAGCCTCCCTTCCATCAGGACCCCTGGGGGTGGCCAGAAAATAATAGGGGCACGAGGAGCCCATTCATTCATATTTTGAAGCGGAACCTTCACATGTTCCTGCCTGCTGGGGGACTCTGGCTGGCAGACTGGGAAGGTCGCACTCAGATCAGCCAGGACCCGTTCGGCTCACCCAGGATGGAATGAGCAGCCTGGAGCCTTCTCTGCCCCCAATTCCAAACCCTGGAGCTCCTTTGAGTTCAAAAAGGTCCTTCAGTTTCTCCCATCAAAGGGACCACATTTCCTCTTCCAAGCCACACTGCACAGTTCTTAAAGGAGATGGGCACAGTGCCAAAGACCTAAACTGCATCTAGATTTTCCACTAGATCAATTCTAGAAGGCGTTTCAGTGACTGTGGACAGGTCCTGGAGACCTAGACCTAGGGAACTGCTTCTGCAGGAGGAACGCAGCTGCAGACCATGGAACTTCTTACCACTTATTACTTAGAATCCACATTCTTAAAACAACTTTAAACTTATTATATGGTCCAACTGGGTCTGGACCACCTAGACCAGGCTCAGTCCTGAATACCCTGGTCTGTCCCAGCAGGCAAAGGCTGGGAGGGGGCATCTGTGCCCAGGGTGAGGATGCGCCGAGTGCTGGCGGCACTGGTGAGGGCTCGAGCTCTCTTCCTAGCTCTGCTGGTTGAAGGCTGCCTAACTGTGACAGTCACTTACAGCCACCATGCTCATTTGTTCAGTCGTGCCTGTCAACTAGGGTTTGCGTGGTGGCTGTTTCGGAAGCCAGCAAAGCAAAACCACCTTAATGTGCCACACAGAAGTGTAAGGTGACCCCCCCTCCCATTGAGTCGACAGCCCAGTGACCCCTGCTTAGAAGGGAAAGGAGAATGGGAGGACAGGCAGGCACGATGGGACTGCACCAGCTGCAGCAGGGGTGGGCAAGAGTCCTCTCCTCACAGCCAGAGTCAGGGCAGGGGCAGTTTCGCTTCTCAACCCCCCTCTGAAACTGTGTCCCACCCCTTGCCGTGGCTCTGAAACGTGCCCGGCACTGCTCCCTGCTTATTAGAAGGAGAGCTCCTCAGGCAGGAGCAACCTAGAAACTTTCCCTTCCTGATTCTGTGCAAGCACGGCTGTGAGCGAACAGCCTCCGTATTTCAACAAACATCCTACTTGTATGGTCTTAGGATCTGTTTCCAGACAGTCACCTCGGGGCTCACTCTAGTCCTGAAAGCATCTTCCCATCCCTTTGTGATGTTCAGTCTGTTGCGGGCATTCCCCTCTGACAGGTGTCCTTGCCCTGCTGCTTCTACAGGGTGGCAAAGAGCAAGGGCTTCAGCTCCCAAGCTCAGCTGCAGGGCACTTAGGCCCCGAGTGTGTCCCCAGTGACCCTGACTTGAGGGACACACTGGGCGCTGCAGCCACAAGGCACTGCTCCTGTAGTCATGGTGGGCAGCCAGCATTGCCCCAGGCCACAGTGCTGGTGTCCCAGGCTCCTCAGGGACCTGAGGACAGGGCCAAGTGTGCCAGTCCACACCAGGCTGGCCCTGCCAGTCCACACCAGGCTGGCCCTGCCAGTCAACAGGTGCACATACAGGTCCTGAAACCACCTCAGGTCAAATAAGGGATTTGGGGGCACACAGGTTGCATTCTGCCTCTTGGGAAGATGATGCAAGGGAATGACAGGCAGGCTGGTTCCAACGCATTGCCAAGCGCCAGCTGAGCGGGCTGGGAGCAGGCACATTCCGGTAACCAGGACAGAAGTGGGCTAGTGATACCTGGTCATGTCTTTTCCCAAGACAAAACCAGGAAGACTGGCCCAGCCCGTTTGGTGTGTTACAGGCTGAACTGTGCCCCTCCCCAAATGTGTATGGTGAAGGCCTAACCTCCAGTACCTCCAAATGTGACCTCACTTGGAGAGGGGGTGTTTAGAGAGGTAATCAGGTTAAAATGAAGTCATTAGGGTGGGTCATAACCCCATACAACTGCTGCCCTGATATGAAGGGGAAATCTGGAGACAGCTGTGTAGAAAACACCATCTGAACAGGAAGACAGCCATCTACAGGTCAAGGGGAGAGGTCCGGGACCGATCCTCCCTCCCAGCCCAAAGCAGGAACTGAACCTGACACCTGGATTGTAGACTTCTGGCCTCCAGGACAGAGACAATATGTGCTGCTGTTGAAGCTGCCCAGGCAGGGTTCCTCTGTGAGGCAGCCCCAGGGGACTCAGAGTGTGCCCCAGGAGTCCTGTGGGAATTGCCCCACCCTTCCTGGCACACTCCTGAATGTTCTCGAGGATGTCTGGGAGACGAGGCAGCGTGCTGGTGGCACAACCAGCCCCGCCCCAGCGTGGGCCCACATGGACCTCCCTTCTATAGGAGTCAGGGCCTTCCTTAGCAACTCACTTCTTTAATTTCAGAATCCACAGAGGTAAGTCCAGCTTAGACCAGGGGGCTGAGTTCTCTCAAATGAAATCTGTGCCAATATTTACTCCAGGAAGGCAAGAGCCCAGCCCTTCAAGGCTCCTGAGATCAGGAACGGCTGGTGGTTAGGAGGCGCTCTCCTGGCCGCTCTAGCTGTGTGGGGCACCCCCTGCATATGTGGGGCACACGTGGCCTATGCACACCACCCACCTACAAGCTTGGGCGGCTCCAGTGGGAAAGACAGGAGAGGGAAGCAACATTTGATTGAATCTGAGCCAAGAGGGCCAGAGGCTGAGGAAGGCACCCCCACAGCAGCCTCCTGAGCAAACAGCACCTGGGGGCTCTACCCAGTTGGGACAAAGGGCGAGGCTCCCAGCAACAGTAAGGGAGATGGCGTCCTCTGGGAGAGGGTGGCCTGGGGTGGGGTGACAGGGCTTCCACGCCACCACTGCACCCTCGGCAAGAACGAGCAGATGTGGAGAAGAGGAATGCCATCAATGCGCCCCCCATCTCGGGTCCCTGTGCTCCCCACCCCACAGTTCTTCCTGGAGGGCCCTCTGCACTCCTCCCAGCAGGCTGCTCGGCTCCTTGGGCCGCTCTGGGATCCCGTCTGGTGCCACTCCTGAGGTCGGCACGTCTGCATCTGCACTGGCTGCAGGAGGAGAGGCTCCCTGCAGGGGTAAGGCAGCAGGCACTAAAGGGGGAAGGGGGCTCTGGTGGCCCCCGGTATGTGCGAGGAGGGGGTGTGCAGGCGGCGCAGCATGGCAGCTGGGTGTAGAGGACAGCAGCTGCTGGGAAGAGCTGCAGTGGAGCCCAGGAGGTTCTGCCGGGGGAGCGTCTGGAGGCAGCGGACGTGCCCGGCGAGCGGTCCCTCTGGAGAGTCCTTGCAGGTCACCAGCCCTGCAGCTCTCTCCCTGGCCACGCAGGATCTTTGGTTTAGGCCTCGTGGGTCCCTTCTGCCTCCAGTAGGGCAGATGTCTGTGACCAGGGCCATGAGCCCAGCGAGGTCCCCGTGGGAGGGTCCACATCCAGGAAGCTTGGCCCATTGGCCCAGGGCCTTGGGGGCGCCTCCCCAGCCGATTCACCTGGGTCCTCATGGTGGCCACTTCCTGAGCCAGGCCTGCCAGCGCTGTGGCGAGCCGATCCAGCTTCTCCGCAAGGGCAGCACCGAGGCTGTGCAGCTCCTGCTGCAGGGGCTTCCCACAGTGGCATGGCGGCTGCAGGGAGGAGGCTGGCAACACAGGAGGCGCAGCTTCCGGAGGGGGCAGCTCCGGAGGGGGAGACTCACTGGGCAGCTCAGGCGGGCCCTGGGGGAGCAGCCTCTCATGGGTCTTGGCTAAAACCAGAGCAAGGACCGGTCAGAGTTCCTGGTTTGTAAGGACCTTTCTCTCCCCAGAGGTCCCATGAACCAAGGGCGCTCAGTACTCTGCCTCCTCCAAGGCCCAGCTTCCAGAAAGGAAGGAAGGTGGGTGAGGCCTGAGAACGCAGATGCCAATGCTTATGGCATGAAAACTGGCTATGTCTCCTGGCTGTTCCCCAAACTGATGGGCAGGATCAACCACAGGTTGGGTTTCCGTGGTAACCAGGCTTTCCTAAACTGCGGTCTTCCCACCTTCTAGGAATCGGTGGGTCTTTGTGTTGTTGATGAGACCAAATGGCACCCTGCCCTAGGAGTCAGTGAGAAGGGTCCAGAGCCCCCGAGACAGCATGAGGCCAAGGCCGTGGGAGCACCAGGAGATGGGCCAGGAGGGCCAGGCAAGCCAAGGGCCTTCTGCGCATTTTTTGTGGGGTGACCCTGGGGCCACTCCAGAACTCAGTGCTCTTCGTTACAGGCAAACCACAAGGGTTCCCACCCCCTTCTGCTTTTACTCTCCCTATTGAGAAGTTACAGATTCATAGGAGTCATAAGCTTTTTGTTTTTTTTAAAAAAAGATCACCTAATCCTTCGCCCTAAATTCCCTTGGAATTGGTCCCAACCCTGGGCAAACCACAGGAAAGGCTTGGCCAGGCACCTGCCATTCCTAACCTGTTCAGCCCCAGGCCGGGCGCAGAGATGGTTTCTTCCCTGTTTCTCTGGGCCCCCAGCTGTGGCTCTGCCCTGCTCTTTTCGGCACCTCCAGGGCTTTAAACCGAGGAAAAAGTGAAGACTGGAGTAGCTAAAGGACCCAACCGCTGTTTGGTCAAGTTCATCAATAAGGATCTCGGCCTGGAGACCCCAGCTAGGACTTCTACAGAGGACAGGCAAGGCTCGGTGGCCCCAGGCAGCTCAGAGCTCACAGCAAAGTGGTGGCGCCTGGACAGAAGCCAACACCCTGAGCCAGTAAGAGAACCTGCCGCAGGCCACACTCAAAGTTCCTGGTGTGGGGCTGTCCCCAAGTGACCCAGGGCACTAGGTGCCAGGCCCCCTGCATGTCTCCACCATGAGTCCGTAGGGGCACGTGTGTGACATGGAGCCAACCCTCTCACAGTGACCATGGCCAGGTCATCCTAGCCTCAGTTTCCTCACCTATTCTCTAAAGTCCCCTCAAGCCCCAAACTTTGATCCTTCACTTCTCAATTTCCACCTCTAAAAGGTGTGTCTGCTTTTATGAAAATCCCAACTGCTTCTGTGATAAAACACTGAAAGGAAATATGCAACCTGAAGTGCATTACAGGTGAGACTTCCTACCCATCACTCAAACACTGACCCTGGAAGGCTGTTTTCCCCAAGCTGGGGCTCTGGGTCCTGGCCCGTGCAGAGGGAATGGGGGAAGCCACCAGTTCACCTGCAACTCTGGGTCTTCCATGTCCAAGCTCCAGGCCTCTGGATGCTTCACTAACCCTGGGCCTTTTCTCCAGCTGAGAAACCGGGCAGGGATCCTGAGCTGTACCTATAGAAAGAGCACAGAGACCTTGGGGCAGGGAGACGATCGTTTGGCCAGAGCCATTCTGACATACCCTAAAACAATATCAAACTCTCAACTTTTAAACAATGATTAAATGAGATAGAAGACGGAAACTTGGCCCATGAGGGAGCCTAATTCTGGTGGCAGGGCCCGCCGCGGTGCGTGTGTGTGTGGTGTTCCTGCCCTGTATGCAGGGGGCTCCGGCAGGAGGAGGCGGCTGGGGAGGCAGCTGGGAAAAAGGACTCTCATCTGCGGGTCCTGCCCCAGTGAGACTTCCAAGGGCGTGCTGGGGCATCCTGTGGTCCACACCCAGCCCACTCTGCCATTTTCCACTAGGCCCACTGCGGAGTGAAGAATGTGGTGCAGCCTGGGTCTACACAGACCAGGGCCAATGCCTGTAAATGGAGCCAGCTGCAGGAGTTGGGGAGAGCTCCCTCCCCTGACCATTTCTGGCCTCTTCCTCCTTCTCCCCTGCTTCTCCCTCCTTCTACCACTGCTTCTCCCTCCTCGTCCTCGTCCTCCAGCACTCCTGAGGGGGCCAGGACAGCAGGTACTCTCTAAACTCTCTTTTCTCCCAGGCAACTGGGACCTGTCTCCTGTCCCATCTGCTTTTTCTGCTAGGAGCAAACAGTGGGTCACAGTGAGATTGAGAAGCAAGGTGGCCTGGGGCAATAGGCAGCATTCTAGCTTTCCTAATGGGACACTCTCCAAGAAGTACCCCCAGCTGGGGAAATCTCACTTTTGAGACTTTTGTTATTGATTGCCAAGTTTTAAAAGCATACGCTATTATTGTATAAATACATCCACATCTGTCTACATGCACACGTGTATATTAGCAAGCGCAAACACCGTGTACGTGGCATCAAGTGAGTGGCTCAGACCTCCCTGCAGCTGCTCACCAGCACCCCCAGCAGCCCCGCCCTCCTTCTCGGACACAGCTCACCTTACAGGGAACTAAAGCACGGCCAATGTGCAGGACTCCCTGGCAAGAGCCAGGCAAAGCGACAGGCAGGACTCAAAGGATCCAGTCTGGACTCCTGGTCCTCTGGGGAACGCATGGGCGCCCCCTCAGGAGACCCCAGGCTCACCTGCACCGAGGCCGCTGCAGTACCTGGGCTCTGTTCTCCTGGGGTCTTCACCAGGGCTGCCGCCACTGCTGCCAGCAGGGGTCCCACCAGGACATGGGGACAGAGGGACAGGAGGCTTACAGCTGGGAAGGCGGTCCCTCTCTAACGTCACAAACAAAGCTGGCATCAGAGTGGTGACTGGCGCCCTGGCACACATCCCGCTATCCTCCCTCTCCGCACAGGCTCACCCTGGGGGAGCGGCTTCCAGAGATCAGGCTCTGGCCTCGGGTCTTCTCCTTCAGAGCCGCTGAAGCTCGAGCTGGAGCCGGGGCTGGGGCTGGGGCTGGGGCCTCCCACGCAGGCGAAGCGCAAGGGCCTTACAGGCAAGATCCCCCTCAGGGCGCTCTCCAGGCAGTGCAGCGGGGAGGGCTTGGGGGCAGACCCTGGGCAGGGGACCAGAGAGTGCTCTGTCATCAGCCTGAAGAGAGCCAGGTCTCTGCCTTAGTGTCTGGGCACACAGAACCGGTCCCCTTTTCAGCTCAGCCCACGATCAGCATGCGTTCTAGTGGACCCTAAATGGCTGCCTCTCTTGCCAGAGAAAGAGGACAAAAGTGAAGCCAGAGCCTGGCCAGGACCCCAGCAGCTTTGGAAAGTCTGCTGGGGAACTTTCTGGAAGTCTCCAGTCCTTGGAAGCCATTAGCAGTCAGGTTCTAGCCAGGCCTAGGTCTCACAGGCCAGGCGGCTTCTCCCACCAGGCAGGTGCCATCCCTGCACCCCAGTATCTCACAGGGGCCAGCAGCCCAAGGGTGGGGCTCAGTTAGGGCCCATCCTCGTCTGATGGGAGGGTCAGCAAAACCGCATTTATTCAGCAAAGGCATCCCAGCAGGCCCTGCAGCAGATCTAGGAAGGAATTCTGCTGGAAGTTAAACCAAGCAGCAGCAGTGGACGGCGGGAGCCCCCTCAAGAAGCTTCTCCACTGGAGAAACCCAATGGATGGACACAAACAATGATCTTCCCGACCCCGCTCCTTGTCAGCACTTTGTGACACTTTATCTTCTTGTTTAGCGAACCTCAGTTTCTGTTTGGCACCAGCTTCTGTCCTCTGGGGAAAGGATGAGAGATGGGGAAGAAACAGAGGGACAGAGAGGGAAGTCTATTTCCTTGTCAAACACTTTAACTGAAGTGGGGCTGTCAGTACCGAGGGCAGGTGCCAGCTCACCCTCTGGGAGCCACCTCCACACTCCTGGCCTGGTGGCCCCAGGGTCTTTGAACCCCCGCTGGTGGCAGGCGGGGACGCAGCTGGAGGTGAACACCTGTGGGCTGACCAGATGGAGGCTCCGGGTGGGCGCTTCTCCCCTACCCTGCCCGAGACGGGCTGACTCGCAGGCCTCAGCCCTCAGTCCTGTTTTAATGAGAAATCAGAAGGCCTGTCAGCCCCACGGGGCCTCGTGCTGCCACAGAAGAAGGGACAGGGAACAGTTTCTGCCATTGCTGGGCTCTCAGGCACACCAGCATCAGGTGTGGGAAACACCCATCTGTCATGTTCCAGGGAGCGCCTGAACCCTCCAGAACATCTCTATTCCCAGACCCAGCTGCGTGGACCCCTGGGCTTGGAGACTGGTGCCCAGACACCAAGGCTCGTGGGGCTGGCACGGCCGGGACAAGGACACCCAGCCACAAGGAGCCAGCTCCAGCTGGGATGGTGGAACCGCAGACAGTGGCACTAAGGTGCCAGCAGGTCTACACGTGTGTGCTGCAGACTATCTGGCTTTCTGGCCTCCAACAAGGCTCTGCCCAGGTCTGTTTCCAGAGCACCATGTTGGCTCAGGAGCAGATCTGAGCCCACAGGTGCAGCGCCTAGGGCATCCTCAGAGCAGCCCTGTCTACACCCAGGGCCCCGGCAGCCACTATTACCTTCCTTGTCTGCTGTCCAGTTCCTGGGCTCTGCTCTCCTCGGTCCCCTGTCTGCTGCTGAGGAGCAGGGCCAGGCAGGCCGCAGCACAGGCACAGGTATCTCCTTGAGACAATTCTCCAGACCCTGCAGTGGGGAGCTTCCTGGTGGGCTTCCTGTGAAGATCAAACATTCACAGATGAGGGGGACTGTAGCTCAATCTCTGCAAACTGCAGAAGCCCCCTGTCTTCTGCTGTGTCCAGGGAAGGGGGGTCACAGGGGTGCTGGGCACAGAGCACTGGACGTGTCAGTCCTGGCTCTGGCGCGGCCCTGCTTTGGCTGCCGTGGAAGAAGCCTGGCCTGTCCTGGCCACCCACATAGAAGCCTGGCCTGCGGCTGTCATGAGGGCGTTGGCCACAGGTGTGGGCTCTAGTCCTCCTCAGCACACCCAGCTGCCACCACCGTGAGGGATGACACATCCTGTGTCCCCAGCACAGGGGATGGTCCCACAGATGGAATGTGCTAAGACTTCCTTCACCACTCACAGCAGGGCAACAACACAGGCCCCCTGGCCTCTGGGCCATGGCGGGCCAACATGCATGCAATTTCAACTAGGAAAGAACTAAACACACTGCAAACATCCTATTTCCAGTGACAGCTGTGCGAGTAACAGGAACTAGATGGACTGAAACTCTAGAGTGAGGAGAGCCCTTCCTAATAAAGCAGACAGTGCTGCCACTCTCTTTCCCGACAGCATTTGCTGACGACTCTGGGCCCAGGCACAGGGCGGGAGGGCAACCTCAGAACTTCTGAATGTCCACAGGCTGGAAGGGCAGAGACCAGCCCTTCCAGACCAGGAAGGGCTGGAAACCAGAGGACCCCCACATGCATTTTCTCCACAGCACGTTCGCTGAGTTCTGGGGCAACAGAGGGAGCCGGGAGTTGGCTGGAAGCTTCTGACAGGCAGTGTGAAATATCCTGCAGTTTGGGTTACTTAGTAAACAAAGTCTGCCCAGGCAGAACACATGAAGCATGCTACCGAATACCACGCTGCTGTCCAAAAGAAGAAACTGGTGCTAGTGGCCAAGGAACATGAAAAGTATAGAAAGGGGTCAAAGACAAATGCTGACGACAAAGGCAGCCTGGAGGGGGCATGTATAGATGCTGCCCTCTGTGTGAGGAGGAGGAGGGGAGTGAACTCACAGCAGTGGCAGGAGGGGCTGGAGTGCCGAAGGCTTCATTTTCCCTACATAACCTTTTATAGCTTTTGAACAAAGCTATGTGATCATATTACCTATGAAGTCAGTTGCACTATAGGGGAAAAGCCCCACACCCAAGCGGCTAACCCATAGTGGGGCTTGGGAATTCAGGCTGCTGTGGACACTGGCAGGCCCCAGGCCTGTTCTACAGGCCCCACAGGCCTGGCCAGAGCTGTGGCTGCTGTGAGAGGCCTGTTCAGTAAATACATTGGCAGTCAGGACACAGGTGAGCACGGAGGGAGTGGTGTCGGCAGGACAACACAGACCAAGAGGACTCGGATTAACCAGGTGGGGGAAATAAAAAGGCCAAGAGGGGATGCTGGAGTCCTGCAAGATCCCCAAGTCTGCAGGAGCAACTCGACTGGAGTGAGCCGGGGAGGCACAGGTCACCAAGCACACGCTGAAATGTTTCTGACATGAACCTCACTGTATGTTTTCCTAAGTTGGGGGTCAGTTTGATATTACAGGCAATTCTTTGTGGCTGGGGTAAGGAATTCAATGCAAAAAGGAAATTTTTATGTATTTATTTTTGAGATGGGGGTCTCACTCTGTCACCCATGCTGGAGTGCAGTGGTGTGAACATAGCTCACTGCAGCCTCAAACGCTGGGGCTCAAGTGATCCCCTGCCTCAGCCTCCTGAGTAGCTGGACTACAGACTACAGGTGCTACTCCACCCAGATAATTTTTTAAATCTTCTGTACAGGCTGGGCGCGGTGGCTCATCCCCATAATCCCAGCACTTTGGGAGGCTGAGGCGGGCAGATTGCCTGTGGTCAGGAGTTCGAGACCAGCCTGGCCAACATGGCGAAACTTCTTCTCTACTAAAAACACAAAGATTAGCTGGGCACGGTGGCGGACACCTATAACCCCAGCTACTCGGGAGACTGTGGCAGGAGAATCGCTTGAACCCAGGAGGTGGAGGTTGCAGTGAGCCGAGATTGTGCCACTGCACTCCAGCCTAGGCAACAGGAGTTAGACTCGTCTCAAAAAAAAAAAAAAAAAATTCTGTATAGACGGAGTCTTACTATGTTGCCCAGGCTGGTCTCAAACTCCTGGCCTCAACTGATCTTCCTGCCTCAGCCTCCCAAAGTGCTGGGAGTACAGGCGTGAGCCACTGTGCCCAGCCCAAAAAGATTTTAAAAGAAATCTTAGACATTGTCCTGTCCCTTCTAAGACAAGTCACTAAAACGGAGCCCCCTCTCCACCCTAGGCTCCCACAACCCACCCAAGATAAGTCCCGCATCTGCTCCTGCCTCAGTATCCCTGGCTCTGCTCCCAGCACGGGCATGGGGGTCTGACCCAGTCAAGCCAGAGGGACTGGGCAAGGGGCCTTGAGTCCTCTCCCAGGATGAACCCCAGCCTCGGGCTGGCCCAGCTCACCTTTTCCAGGATGCTGCCCCTGGTTCCCCACAGGACTCCCAAAATCCAGGTCCCAGTCGGTGCTGCTGGATGAGGAGAAGCTGGTGGGGGTTCCTCGGGGGGCCAGGGGCCTGCTGGGGCCATCTCTCACACAGCTCTGCAGACCCAGAGGCAGAACAGGCTCTCTGGTCGCTTCTGTAGGGAACAGCACAGTTGTGGTCACCAGGAGGCTCACTGGAGAAGAGACTCCTGGGCCATGGGGTGCACGGGCACCAGAAGACCCTGCCCCAAAGTATCTCCCACTAGGGTTTCCCTGTGGCACTGATTCAACTCCCATAGCACGTGACCCACAGAAACCCCACAGTGAGTCTCGTGACTGGAGAGAGTTCTGAGAGAAGGAAGTAGGGCAGGAAGATCTGCACTGGCTTTCAGCACATGCGGGCGGCTGTTTGGGAGTGAGTATGAAAGGCAGCCTGGGGGAACGGGCCTGTGTCTCAGGAGGCCGGGGAACACAATGACCCGACAGTCCTCAGCATCTGCCTCCGCTGCCACGCTCAGGGACATGCCACCCCGCGCCCATGGCCACAATCTACCTTCACTGTGTGATCTGTGGGGTTGCAGTTCAGGCTTCTGAGACCTAGAGTCTCCTGGCTGGGGGTTCTGGGAACAAGAAGTGGGTGGCAGCTGGGAAGGTGACGACCCATTTGGGGGAATGCCCTTCAGACAGGCTTCCAGGGCTTCCAGCGGTGAGCTTGAGGCACTGGCAGCTGGAACAGGAGAGAGCACCCTGTTACCATCTCCCACACATTCCAGCCTTGCCCATCAGACCCCTGGCTGGCTCTACCCGACGTGCTTTCTACAGGGGTGACGAGTCCTGTACCAGGCTCTGGCACCTGCCAGGCAGGAAACCCTTCTGTGGGAGACTGATCGGCTCTCGCCCCCCACCCTGCTCCCTGGAAGGCATGAAGACAGGAGGGGAGTGAGGAGGGCCACATGTCAGCAGGGGTAGCTTTCAGGGCCAGGAATCACTGCAAAACGAAGGCCCCGAGGCAGCGGGGGCTTGGACAAAGGCCTGGGCTGAGGAGGCTGTGGATGAAGGGATTCACTGCTTGGGAAGAAAGGCCAGGGGGCGGCTCCCTGCTGAGAGCTGCTTCCCTGGGGTTAGTGGAACCTTGCCAGGGACTGACAAGCCCATGGGGAAGACCACCAGAGCAGCCAATCTCAGGCCTCACCTTGAGCCTCAGGGCCCCAGCTGGGTTGGGGGACCCCTCTGGTGTCTCCAGTGGCTGAGGGACTGAGGGGCTGCCTGCCAGGCTGACAGGATGCAGGTCCTGGGGGGCTCTGGACCCAGCTGTTCTCCATCTTCACAGAGAGCAGACCGCCAGCTCCAAGATCAGGATGGGGAGGAGGGGTCAGGAGGTATCCAGGCCCTGCGGGAGGAGGCCATTGGGAAGCCCAAGGTTCAGGCCTGGACTCACCCTGAGAATCCCTTGAGGCCTTTATAGGGTTAGGAGGGGCTTCCAAAGCCCCTGTGCCTCCACGGCAGTCACCGGCTCAGACTGCTGTCACTTGTCAATCACCAGCAGAGACCTGAGTCACACGCCTCCTCCCCTACCATGGCCCCTTGGGGTGCCTCCAAGGTTTCTACCAGGCATGAAGTCAGCCCTCCCCAGACAGCACCAATCATGTCTTTCTCCATGGCCAGCACACCTGACTCAACCCAGCTGCTCAGGGCTTTGTTCTGAGAAGCTAACAAGCTGAGGTGACATGCACGGAACACGAACCCCTGTGTGGGCTGGGTGGGTATAATTAGGATTTGGGGTTCCCAGCTCTCACACACATGGCAGAAACCTGACCCAAACACACAGGACCCCAAGCCACAATGAGGAGCTGCGTGTGTGCTGGGCTAGAGCTCCATCCTCTATTTCTTGATCTCGCTCCCTCCCCACTTTCCTTTCAGAATGTCCAGCTCCTCCTCTAAGAGCCAGCCTGAGAATTATCAAGCGCTGACCGAGCCCCTCCCACACAGCTCGCTCCACTTACACAGTGGGGATCCCCCGCATCCGGATCCTCTTCCCGACAGGCCAATATGGGGGCCTGAGTGTTTGTGGTGGGGGCCACCTACAGCCCTGCCTGGGGCAGGGTAATGTAGGATGTCTGGGGGCCCTCCCAGCCCAGCGAGAAGCCTTTACCTCCAGAACCCCTTTTCCAGGCTCCTGGATTCTCCTGTAGCCGTCGGTTCCCCACTCCTGAGGGACTGGGATGCCTGTCCTGGGCCTCGGGGAGCTCCTTCAGACAGTGTAGCAGACCCTGGAGGGGACAATCCCCTGAAACCGCCTCGGTCTTCACTAAGGAAAAAGGAACATGTTTTCACCTGGAGCTCAGTGTCCTCAGCCTTCATGACAAACAACAAACAGGGGACAAGTTAGAAGGGCGTGGGGCCAACTCTGAAGATGAGGCTCTTCCAGTGGCTCGCTGAGTCTTCCCAGTGCCTGGGTCCACACACCTGCCAGAACCGGACAGGGCAAAGAGGGAAGCCATGGAATTCGCCCTGCAGGCAGACAAGTGGCATCACTCTGAGGACAAATTGAAGGAAGTGGGCTGTCAGGGTCACTGTTTGAGACAGCTCTGGGGTCCTGAACAGAACTTACATTTGAGGAAAATGGAGTTGTACAGTAAGTACATTACTGCAGCTAAGCTCACTGCGGCCCTGTGAGTGGGAACAGCCTAGGCTCAAGGCATCAGGAGCCTCTCCGGGTCTGACTCCAAGACCTGTGCCCCGGCCCCTCCACCATGCTGTCCAGAGCCCAAGCCCACCCCATGCATCATGCCTGGCGTCAATGCAAAGCAACACATGAGCTCTGCAGCTCTTCCCCTCGGGTCCCAAGTCAGGAGGAGGAAGAGACATGAAGAAACCAGGGCAAAGCCTGCTTCCGAGTTTCCTTTTCCCAGCTGACCAAACGCTGCCCTTAAGAGAGCCACCTGGCTCCAGAAAGGTGACACTGGCAACACAGCAGCGACCAAGCTGGTAACGATCCCTAAGGGAGACAGTTTGGAGCAGGAGGAATCGCTGTTGAAATGCAAACCAAGCTTCAGAGACCTCAGCCTGAGGCCCCAGAACTCACCTGCCCAGGGCGGGCTCCCAGGCCCCAGGTCTGCTCTGGTTAGCCTGGACGTGCCCAGGCTAGGGAGAGGTGGCAAGAAGCTTGGGGATGTCTCGGGGTGCCGGGGCCCAGGCACAAGGATTTCCTTCAGACAGTTGATGAGGCCTTGCAAGGGGCTGTTCCCAGGAGAAATTCCTGTGGCACATGCAAGGTGGGCCTGGGTCAGTGCAGTCCTGACGGGACACCGGGAGCGCTGGCAGGCATTCAGGTCTCCGGGCGGCTGAGATTCCCACCCGTGAGAATGCAGACAAGGCCTGCCCGGTGGAGCTGCCACCAGGCCCAGGCGGCGGAGCAGCATGACCTCCTCGTGTGAACTAAACACACTTCCCCATCGCTACCCCACTAAGGAAAGCCCGCCTCTCACCGGCCTCTGAGGTCCCTCTCTCCTGTCCTCTGTGGCTCTTCCTCCTGCTGGGGCTATGGGTGGGAGGGCTGGGCTCCCCGCCCAGGGCTCCTGGGCCTTCCTTCCTTGTAGGCCACGGTTTGTCGGCAGTTTCTGTTGCAGGAGAAGACAAGAGGGCCTTTCTAGCCCCAGCTCCAGACTCTGGAAAATCACACCAGATCTGGTTCCCATAGAGGACAGCCCTCTCCAGCCACCCAAGTCCCTGTTCGAGGTGGGCTGAGGGCCTTTACCGTTTCTTTCTGGTTTAACTGGAAACAGCAAGACTGTTGGTTCACTGTGAACACTCCCAGACCCTTCCCCCTGAGCCCAGCCTCGGAATTTGGCTCAGGAAGTGATGCCGGCAGCCTTGACATGTAGGCCACAATCTCACACTCACGCTTCTCAAACCAGGGCACACACAGGGCACACAGAACCCCAGAGCAAGTGTGCCCGACGACCCCTGAACACCAGATGAAACCACAGCTAAATGGGGTATGCTCTTTGGGAGTGCCAATTTTATTCCATATAAATTTGAAGTACTTTTTTATAAAAACAGACATGCAAAATTTGTGAGAAGTTTTAAAAATAAAATGAGACCCCAGAGAAATCCTAGGAGCTCCCCTTGCCCTGCTCTGCAGTTAGGGTTGCTGTGATGAGACGGTCTAAGGATCAGACCAGTGCACACAGGTAGGTCAATGCTGCTGGCCGTGGGCCTGCATGTTAGAAACTGCCGGAGACTTTCTGTGTACAAAGTGCTCAGTGATCGGGGCGGGATGACAGGCTCCCCAGGGGCTGAGCATCATGCCTCCTCTTTGGTGGTTACACCAGAGGCTAAATATGTTGTCCTGCTCCCTGGCGTACTTTGTTAACAAAAGAACAGCACAACAGGGGAACTGAGTCCTAGAAAAAAATGAAGAGGGCACAGGGTCCAGGTCCTCTGACGCCACGATCAGGGCTTTTGAAATGCTGGTTCTCCCTGTCCCTGCTGTGTCAGACTCACTGATGGGGAGAGGACTTCCCTGGACCCCGTCACCAGTTGGGCCACTGGAACACGAGCTGTCGGTGGGCGTGGTGGCCAGGTGGGGCTGGCTGGTAGGGCCGTCTGGAAGGCAGCTGAGCAGGCCTCGGAGAGGGCAGGGCTCTCTTGCCGCAGCTGCTGTCGGGAAAGAGGGAGAATCAACAACTGGTAAGATGCCCCTAACATTGTCACACTGTCACATTCTGGGTCCTTTCCTTGCCATGTACTAACAATGACCAGGATGTCAGCCACCTATGTGTTGTCATCACTGGGCTCTGAATGGGGCCATGGTGGGTGGAGGGTGACAAAGCCACACAGAAACCACCATGCGAAAGTCAGAGCTGCCCTCTCGCCAGCTATGGGCATGTGCTCAGAGGGCGGCACACGGCCTAGCCACGAGGAACAGCAGGTGACTCTGCCTCCCGGCCTGTGCCTGCAAGCCCACATGCAGTGCAGTGCCGTGGACTTGTGCTTCATCATGCGGAGTGCAGAGGAGGCTGCGTGCACTGCCCCACTGTCTGACTTACCCTCGGGGCTCGCTCTCTCTCCATCCAGGCTGGCTCCCCGGCTCTCGCTCTCGGGGCTGTCCATAGCGCCCTTGACTTCTCCAAACAAGAACTCTGGGATCTCCTTCACCAGCTGCACCAGGGCTGTGAGGTGCAGGCTGTGCCGGGGCTGTCCCCCTGCAGAGAGGCCACAGTGACCCCCCCGCACCCCTGCGGCTGCTCAGCACTCACACCTACGTGCGTGTTTTCACACCCAGCATCTCACGTAATCCTCCCAGCCACATGAGGAGCAGCCAGAGGAGACACCATGTCCCATGAGATATAGAGGACCTGGGCTCAGGCCAGGCGCTCTGGCCAAGGGACAGCCAGGGCATGGGGGCGGGGCCTGGGTAACAGGGCTCCTCTGTTCTACGTTACTCATTAATCTCCATGCCTCCCAGGGGAATGCCCAGGCGGGCTGCCGCTACACTTCTTCCACCATCTGGGCCCTCTGCCTTTCCTGGCACCCCCTAAATGCCTGGCCTTGCCCAGTCTGGGCCGGTGGAGCACATCCACCATCTGAGGTCTTGGGATGTAAGCCTCGTGGCAGGACTTTTGGGAGCTGGAGCAGGTTCTGCAGGGGTGGCTGTGATAAGGCTTCAGGGTGGTGGTGGGTGGGGGGCCTGAGGCAGGAGGTACTCTCCAGGGTGACCCCAGGCTTTCTCTGAGTGCTTCTCTGCATAACAGGCTTCCAGCCCAGAGGGATGAGGGGTGAAAGCTTGGGAGGTTGCAGTAGGGGAGGCAGGGAGGTGAGAGGCTGGACTGAGTAGGCTGAGGTCACGCATTGCCTGGGGCTGAGGACCGATGAGTGGGAGGAGACACCCAAAGTCTGACAGATAACTTACCCTGGGGATCTCCACAACCAGCAGGCTCCTGCCCCTCATCAGCGTGGCTCCCTCCCCCAACAGCTCTTCCAGGCTCTGAGGGTGACAGGAAAGCAGAGAGGGGGAGCAGCTCAGCTGTCCCTGGGAAAGAAGAGGGAACTGTGGCCCTGGGAATGGAGTGGTCTCCGCTTCGCACACAGTTGCATAGCAGCCCAGGCCCCTGCAGGTCTGTGCACATTCATGTGACCACTTAAACTCAAAGAACCGCAGAGTGGTCGGAACCTCAGAGGCCGCCGCATACCCCCACCGAATTGTACCTAGAACCCGGTCCCGGGACATAGAATAGCAGCAGCGTGAACGATCCCCGTGTTCATTTCTCAGGTGGAAAGACTAAGGCTGCCGGGTCCAGGGACTCCGGCCTCCCTTCCACCGCCCACCAGGCTCCTGCCACACGTGCTGCTCCCTCCCGTCCTTACCCACAGAGACCAGCGTCTCGTAGTTCTCCCGCATCACGTCTCGGTAGAACTCCCTCTGCCCCTCCTCCAGGAGCCGCCACTCCTCCTCCGAGAACCGCACGGCCAAGTCCTTGAAGGTGATGGACACCTGCAGGCACAGTCTCCGGGGGGGTTGGTTGTTCCATCCCAGAGGGGACAGCCTAGCTGTCCCTGCACTTGGTAACCCCACCTAGGCCTCCAGGCGCACACTCCAGGATAATAGCCAGGGTCTGACATGCAGGAATCCCCTCAAGAGACAGTGCTGGGGGTGAGCTGTGTCTCTGCAGAGACACGCTGAAGTCCTAACCCTCACGCCTGTAAGTAGGACCTTATTTAGAAACAGAGTCCCTGCAGATGGAATTACTTAAGATGAGGTCATACTCCTAAGTAGGGGGGACCCTTAGTCCAGTATGACTCATTCCTTATCAGAAGAGACACAGAGACAGACACAAAAGAAGAAAGCTGTGTGAAGACAGGCAGAGACTACAGTCATGCAGCCACAAGCCAAGGAATGCCCAGGGCCACCAGAAGCCACAAGAGGCAAGAAGGATCCTGGCCCAGAGCCTTCAGAGGGAGTGTGGCCTGCCCACACTGTGACGTAGGGCTTCGGGTCTGCAGGGCTGTGAGAGAAGACATTCTTGCTGTCCACCTAGTTTGTGTGCTGGGTTTAGAGAAGTGCTCAGAAGAAACCTGGGGTTGCCCTTGGAAGCTTTGGGTCACCAGGCTCCTTTACACCCTGTACTCCTATCTCCTATTCTCTGTACTCATCTCCTCCTACCCTGTGGCTTTTTAAAATAACACGAGCATTTTTGTCTATGTTTCTTTACAAAATAATCCTTCGGCTGGGTGTGGTGGCTCACGCCTGTAATCCCAGCACTTCGGGGGGCCAAGGCAGACAGATCACCTGAGATCAGGAGTTCGAGACCAGGCTGGCCAATATGGTGAAACCTTGTCTCTACTAAAAATGCAAAAATTAGGTGTGGTGGTGGGCGCCTGTAATCTCAGCTACTCAGGAGGCTGAGGCAGGAGAATTGCTTGACCTCGGAAGGCAGAGGTTGCAGTGAGCCGAGATCACGCCATTGCACTCCAGTCTGGGCAATATGGCGAGACTCCATCTCAAAAAAAAAAAAAAAAAAAAAAAGTCCTTCAGTGGACTTTAAAGTGGCCATCAGACACTAGAAAATGACCAGCATCAATAGGCTTGAATTTAAAATTATGGCAAAAATTAACTGTGCAAATTAAGCAAACAGAAGGTAAATTATGGGAAGGGTCCTTCCTGTTGAGAAATGAATGTTAAACTGTTTATTTGTGAGAACAAATTATTAAAGAAAATGAACACGCCCCTAATAAAGCAAAGACAATTCACCGCTTGTTTCATCTGCTCAGGGCAGTTATTTTAATTAATTAATTAAAAAAGACAGGACCTTACTATGTTGCCCAGGCCAGTCTTGAACTCCTGGGCTCAAGTGGTTCTCCCACATTGGTCTCCCAAAGTGCTAGGATTACAGGCGTGAGCCCCTGCACCCACCCAAGTCAGTGATTCTAAAAACTGTCCCAGGCTGGGTGTGATGGTTCACGCCTGTAATCCCAGCACTTTGGGAGGCCCAGGTGGGTGGATCACCTGAGGTCAGGAGTTCAAGACCAGCCTGGCCAACATGGTGAAACCCCATCTCTAATAAAATACAAAAATTAGCCAGGCATGGTGGTGGGTGTCTGTAATCACAGCTACTTGGGAGGCTGAGGCAGGAGAACCTGGAAGGCAGAATTTGCAGTGTGCCAAGGTCACAACATTGTACTCCAGCCCCTGTTTCAAGAAAAACAAAAAACTGTCCCTGCCACTAACCGGCAGCCTTGTTGTCCACTTACTGCCGGGCTCTCTGCCTGTTCTCCCTGAACAGCTGATAACTTGTCCCATGCAGTCACACTTACCAGTGCTCCCCTCTGGCCAGGCTGCATCTACACCCCTGGCAAGGGGCAGCCCCTCCCGTGACTGCCTGCCTGAGGCCCGGAGGCCCAGAGGCTGATGGGCAGTGAGATGCTGCAGCCTTTGCCTCCTGCCTCGATGTGCAGACTCTCCCTGAGCAAACCTCTGTGGCTCTGGCCCAGGTATGGTCACTCCCTCTCAGGAACAGTCTCAGACACCCTCCAAAACTTCTCTCAAAGAGTTATTTACATTTCTTCCTAGCATCTTGGAACAGAGAAAATGTAGCCAACATCAGGGTCTATGCAGAAGAGCGTGCAGAGCAGCCCTAGACCGCTGTCCTTAGGAAGGCCTGCTTGCCAGGAGGGCTCAGGCTGGCTTCCAGGTATTTAGGTGTCAGGAGGCTTCCCACCATTCCCTAAATGATGGGAGTGGCTCAAGGTGCCTAGGCTGAGCAAATGACGTGGTGTGTGCCACACCCCTGCTTTCCTTCTGGGAGTCTGGAATTTTGGTTCATGGCAGGCAGAGGGTTCCCACATGACATTCTGATGGCTCAACACAGAGCTGGCAAGGCAGGTCTGAGCTCTAGGTAAGAACATGATACCAGCTATGTTGGTTGCACTGGTACCACTGCTGACCTGATGTGGCCATTAAGAGGTTCCGGACCCAGAGACCGGGGCAGAGCACGGTGACTGGGGCCTAGCCTCAGGAGCCAGGCTGCCAGAATTCCAATCCCTGCCTTGTTTCATACTAGTTATGAGACCTCAGCCAAACCTAACCTATTTGGGCCTCAGTGAACTCATCTGTAATACTGGGATCATAACAACCTACCTCATAGAGGTATTGTGAAGACAAAACAAATACAGGAATAGTGCCTAGAACAAATGCGGGGACTATGAATATTAAGTGCTATGATTAGTAATACTGCAGCCAGACCTGTCTGCCTAATGCCCGCTTGCAGGTCTGAGCCTGCCAGCTGAGCTCTTCCACATACTGCTCCTGACCACCGGTGTCTCTCTCGCTCCAGACTAAATATATCCCAGCTCTTCCAGGAATCTGTAAGAGATGCTTTCCAGGCCTCTCACCATCTCAGCCTCAAGACAAACTGTTTTGTGATAAAATTCTTAGAAAATGAGAATGGGAACTGACTGTGGCCAGGGTAGGCGCTTCTGCCAGTGGCCTCCCTCTCCCCAGAAAAAGCAAAGAGTGAGGGTTTTGTGTGTGAGGGAGTGAGCAAGTGTGAGTGTGCAAACACCTGGGCTACAAAACTCATCTTCGGGAGGAGGAAGGCCACCACTGGCTGGCTCTGCCCACACACCACCGGCCTTCCTCCTCGGGCCCCACTTCACCTCCTTCCCCCAACCAATGGAGAAAAGCTTTCTGGGCTGACCCAGGACTCTTGTAACTGGGCAGCCTCCTAGCTCATAGCTGCACACTGGTCCTCCTAACATCACCCTTCCACCGTGTCACTAGCCCAGCACAAAAACTGCAGCTTCAGTGCCTGCTGGACCTGCCCCTCTCTCACAGTCCTTCCCAACCTAGACCTGCTCTCCCAGTGGGCCTCAGGCTCGGGCTCCCTGATCAGACCCTGCCACAGGACCTCTCAACCTGGAGGCTGTGCTCACATTGCCCTGGGCTTCTGGGAACCCTCCCTGCTCCTCTCCACCTTACAGTGACCTACCACTCCCCAAGGTCACTCCTGGCCACCTTCTCCATGAAGCTACGTAGTGTGAGGATATTCCCCTCATCAGATCTGAAAGGTCAATGGCCCAAACTCCTCACTTTACAGAACAGGAAACTGTGGTATGAGGAGGCCTTAGGATGGGGCCATGGGCATGTCTGAACCAGGGTGTCCCTAGGCTACTTAACTGTGCAGCCAGACCTGAAAAGGACACTTGACTGTCCCTGCCCAACAACATCCAATTTGCCTAGCCTCTCCCTTCTCCCCAAATGCTTGGGGGCACTAATGACGCCAAGGGCCTGGCACAGTGTTTGCTCTGCCTAGTCACACGCTGCCCCCCATCCATGGCTGCCTCGGACTGGCCAAAGCTCAGGAGCCACCACGGTTGCAGAACTGGCTCCAGGTGCCCATCCAGAAGAACGTGGAGCAGTTGCTGGTATCAGCACCAGATACCTGATACCTCACTGATATCAGCACCAGAGTTTCCCAGCATCGTCACAGCCCACACACAACCTAGCCCAAACGGTGCCCAGGCTGTCACGGCCTGGGGCTCTCCCTCCAGTTCTCAGATCTAAACGCCTTACCTGCAGGCTTCCCAAGACAAAACTTGGGGTTTGTTCTATCTTTGTTTCTCCCCATTTCCACGTCCCCAGCCCCCGGGATCCAGGATTCCACCAAGAACAGAAGTATGAGATTTACTCACTGCCTCCGAGGCCTTCATGCCCACTCTACCAGGATAACTTGTAACGAAACAAGCCACGCCAAGGGGGTTTCCCCAGGTGGAGACTGGGCCGTGGGTACCGGCGGCGGAGAGCTGGAGAGAGGTTGTCCGAGGACCTGAACTTCCCGGCACGAACCCCTGAGCATCAGGCCTGCCCAGCCTCACCCAGCCGATCCCGAAGTTGCGGGGGGGTCCCAGCTCTTTCTCGCCCTACCGCCTTCGGGGCCGCACTGCGCCGAGGGGTCCGCGCGTCCGCCTGCCTTACCTGGCGCGCCATCCCCGGGCTCAGCCTCCCCGCCACTCCTCGGTTTCCGGCGCGGGCCCTGGCGCGGGCGCACGCGACCCTCGTCGGCGGCGGCCCAGGTCCGCGCAGGAGAAGGCGGGGCCGGGGGCCTGGGCCGAGGGGGAGGGGCGGGGGTGGGCGCGCCCGGGCCCGCCCCCGGCCTCGTTGAGCCCGCCCCGAGCGCCTCGCATCCCTTGGTGGGTGGTGCCGTTTCCGCCCGGAGCCCCCGGCTTCGGCGGCCCGGCCGGCCGGCGCAGACGCGGACTACACTTCCCAGAAGGCGCCGCGGCGCCGGCTCGGAAGCGGGGGGCGGAGACAGGGCGGGGCGGACCTGGCTCGGGCCTCGTCCCCGCCCCCTCCCCTCGTCCCCGCCCCCAGCTGCGGGTAGAGGTTGCGCGCCGAGACCAGCCGGGGCGGCTGTGGGCGTGCAAGCCCGCGGGTACGCGCCGCTTATCACTCATTCATTCCCGCAGCCACCACTCAGCGCGTCCCATGTGCCAGGGGCTGATGGTGGGGATGAAGAGGGACCCATCTTTCCCAGAGGCCGCGGTCGGGGAAACCCGACCTGGAGTGAAAGGGGTCGAGGGTCCGGCCGGGCGTGGGTGGGACAGAGCAGCTGCCAGGCCCCCGTACATCCTCACGTCTTTCGCCCGCGCCCCCGCTCGCCGCAGCCATGACCTACCTTCGTGTCACATTTTGCGTGCCTGTTTGCTGGGGTGGTAACCCCAGTTGTTCCTGGCACATAGTAGGCCTCAAATAAACGTGTGATGCGGGAAGGAAGCGCGGCCCACTCTCCTCTGCCTCCCCCTGCGCTTCACGAGTTCGAAGGCCTGGTCTGGGCGGGCGCTGCGAGAGCGCTCCGGGGGTGCGGGCGAGGCGCAGCGAGCCTGGTTTTCCTGTCTGGAGAAGGACCCCGTCATTTTTATAGAAGGCTGCTGGAAGGGGGCCTGCGGGGCTAAGCCTGCTGTGCCAGACAGAAGCTTGGAGGGGAAGGGGAGGCTGTGGTCCCACGCAGAGGAGACTCTGCTCTGAGTTTGGAAGCCCCGTCCAGACCTTGCGGCCCAGACAGCGCTCTGCCTGGGCAATATCGGAGGGAAGGAAAGGGAATTCCTCGCCCAGTCGCCCGGGGCTGGCCCTTGCAGCCGCGCCGGCCATGATCACGGACTCGGGTACGATGCCGACAACCCCTCGTCCCGGCCTCCGAGGAAAGGCGCACGCCCACTCGGGCAAAGCCCCCTCGGTCATACCCGAGACACCTTAGACACAGGACCGGCGTGTGCGCAGCCTGCTGAACAAGGATTTGAAGATATCACAAGGCCCCACCTCGCGGAAAGGGAAAACTTAAAAGTCCAACTTTTCAAGAGCCCTACAGGCCACAGCCCTCAGGGTAAGTCGCCTCCTGGGCTTTAGGCCGGGTCCCACCTCCGTGCCGAGGTGAGGCGGGCTCCTTACAGTAATGTGTTCCTGCTCCCAGCTCCTCTCCACCGCCCACCCTCCGGCCCGGGATCCCTAAACGTTAAAACCCCCTAAATCAGGGGTCCCCAACCTTTTGGGCCAGAGCCCGGTTTTGTGGAAGGGAATTTTTGCATGGACTGGGAGGGGGGTTGTTTTGGGATGAAACTGTTCCAACTCAGATCACCAGGCATTAGATTCTCCTAAGGAGCCCGCAACCTGGATCCCGCATTCACAACAGGGTTCTGGCTCCTATGAGAATCCAGCACCTGCAGATCTGACAGGAGGCAGAGCTCAGGGGTAATGCGAGCAAGGGGGAGTGGCTGTAACTACAGATAAAGCTTTCCCTGGCTTGCCCGCAGCTCACCTCCTGCTGCACTGCCCAGCTCCTAACAGGCCAGGACTGGTACTGGTCCATAGCCCAGGGACTGGGGACCCCTGCCTTAAACTTAAACACCTGTAGAAAGAAATCTCTATCCAAGTAAGATGCACCTTTGTTTTAAGCTGTGCAGATTCTTGGCACCTCTTTGACTCAAACGTCCACTTCCTGGCTAGGCTTCCTGCCCCATTTGTGGACCATCAGTCGCTAAAAGCAGTTCACCAACATGAAATTTGCTGCATGGCCAATTATTTAAATTATGGAGACACTTCCTGGCACCCCTATCCCCCAAATTTTAGTTGCGCCTTTGACCCTGTAGACCTGTATTTACCTCAGCCCGTGTGTGTGCGTTAAAAAATAGTTGTGAAGACCTGTCCTGAACCAGGTTTATTGGATGGCTCTGGACACAGACAAAGGCAGGAGTGGAGCTGAAACACATCTTTAAAAATTCCTTGGCTGGGGCCAGGCACGGTGGCTCACACCTGTAATCCCAGCACTTTGGGAGGCCAAGGCTGGTGAATTGCTTGGGCCTGGGAGTTCCAAACCAGCCTAGGCAACATGATGAAACCCCATCTCTACAAAAAATGCAAAAATTAGCCAGGTGCAGTGGTGTACCCCTGTAGTCCCAGCTGCTTGGAAGGCTGAGGTGGGAGAATCTCTTGAGCCCAGGAGGCAGAGGGGGGTTGCAGTGAGCCAAGATCACACCACAGCACTCCAGCCTGGGTGACAGAGCAAGACCCTGTCTCAAAAAAAAAAAAAAAAAATTTCAATAATTCAGATTGGTTGTTTAGCAAGTTGATATTCAGTGGTTTAGCTTTTACCATATTTGGCTTTTGGCTATCTGGTCATTCTGTGAATTGACTTTTGGTGAACTAGTCGGCACTTTTCCCAAATGAATCTAAAGGCAAATTGTGCTGGCCAGTCCTCCATGTGAAAATGGCTGCAACTTTAAAATATTTTCTGATTTTCATTATTATTTCTTTTTCCATCCATGAGATTATTTAAAAGTACTTTTTAATTTCCAAATACGAATCTTTTTATGAGTTATTTTGTTTTTGAGTTTTGCCTTATAGTCAGAGAATGTAGTAAGTGATGTTGATTTTTTAGAATTTTCTGAGACTGCTTTGTGGCCAAGTGTGCAATAGATGTTTGAAAATGTTCCATGTTTGCCTAAAAGAGTACATATATTCTAATATTGGTGTAGGATCTAGTTAGAGCTGTAAAATCAAGCTTATCAATCATGTGGTTTATGCCTTCTATAGTTTATCATCTTTTTGCATTTGGAACTATCAGTTACTAAAGAGGTGTTAAAATCTCATATCAAGTTTGTGCATTTGTCAATTTCTCCCTGAATTTGTGAGAATTTTCGCTTCATGTGTTTGGAGGCTGTGTGCTTACAAATTTAGAATTGTAGTATTTTCCTGGAGAATTGTTCATTCTATTATTAGAAAGTAACACTATCCCTAATAATAGTCTTTGTCTATAATCCATTTTGTTTGATATTGCTGCAGCTACACTAACTTTATTTTGGCAAGTATTTCTTTGATATATCTTTTCCTGTCCTTTTACTTTCAAACTTTGTGTATATTTATGTTTCAGATGTGTGTCATATAAGAGCATGTAGCTAGATTTTGTTGTTGCTGCTGAATCCAGTCTGACAATCTCTATCATAATCATGAATCTACTGATTTGAAAGTTATGCTTTCCTTTTTTATTCATTTGGGGGTTACTCTGTAATTTTACACACATATTTGGTTTAATAGAATCTAATATTACTACTTCTGATCTTCTCGCAAATGATAGAAAGCTTTTTGAATATGAGTTTAATCACACTCTTCCCCTTCTGTCTTGTGTGTAATTATTGTTCTTTTTAGTTACATCTTGTTTTTAAGACTCTCTCCTGATATTTGAAGTCATTGTTTTTGTTTTATACAATCTATGCTGTTTAGATTTACCAATGTGCTTACCACTATCTTTGTTCACTCTTTTTTCTTGCCTCTTTCTTCTTCCTTCTGGGTTCAATGTTCTTCCTGAAGCAGAACTTTTAAAATTTATTTCAGCAAGGATATTTTAGAAGTGGATACTTTCAGTTATATAAAATGTCTTACATTTTTCTCACTCCTGAATGATACTTTAGCCAGGGAGAGAACTGTTTCACACTTCTAATATTTTATTCCATTGTCTCCTGACTTTCATTGTTGCTATTGAAAAGTCTGCTGTCAGTCTAATTATTCCTTTGCATATGATTTAACTTCTCTGGCTTCATTTAAAATCATCTGTTTGGCCGGGCATGGTGGCTCACACCTGTAATCCCAGCATTTTGGGAGGCTGAAGCGGGAGGATCACCTGAGGTCAGGAGTTTGAGACCAGCCTGACCAACCTGGAGAAACCCCGACTCTACTAAAAATACAAAAAAAATTAGCCAGGCATGGTGGTGCATGCTTGTAATACCAGCTACTCGGAGGCTAAGGCAGGAGAATCACTTGAATCCAGGAGGCAGAGGTTGCAGTGAGCAGAGATCGTACCATTGCACTCTAGCCTGGGCAACAAGAGCAAAACTCCATCTAAAAAAAAAAAAAAATCTCTTTATCTGTGGTATCATGAAGTTTCACTGCAATGTGGCTAGGTATGGATCTTTTATTTATCTTTCTTGGAACTCGTGAGTCCTAAATCTGAGGTGTCACATCTTTGTACAAGTCTGGAAAATTCTCAGCTATTATATCTTTTAATATTGCCTCTTCCCAAGCTGGGCATGGTGGCTCATACCTGGAATCCCAGCACTTTGGGAGGCCGAGGCAAGTGGATCACGAGGTGAGGAGTTCGAGACCAGCCTGGCCAACATGGTGAAACCCCGTCTCTACTAAAAATACAAAATTTTAAAAATTAGCTGGGTGTGGTGGTGGGTGCCTGTAGTCCCAGCTACTCAGGAGGCTGAGGCAGGAGAATGGCATGAACCCAGGAGGCGGAGCTTGCAGTGAGCTGAGATCGTGTCACTGCACGACAGCCTGGGCAACAGAGACTCCGTCTAAAAAAAAAAAAAATTTAGGCCAGGTGTGGTGTCTCCCGCCTGTAATCCCAGCACTTTGGGAGGCCACAGTGGGCAGATCATCTGAGGTCAGGAGTTTGAGACCAGCCTGGCTAATATGGTGAAACCCTGCTTCTACTGAAATACAAAAAATTAGCCAGGCATGGTGACACACACCTGTAATCCCAGCTTCTCAGGAGGCTGAGGCAGGAGAGTTGCTTGAACCCAGGAAGCAGAGGTTGCAGTGAGCTGAGATCACGCCACTGCACTCCAGCCTGGGCAACAGAGCGAGACTCTGTCTCAAAAAATAAATAAATAATAATAAAATAAATATTGCCTCTTCCCCATTACACTTTCTTCTTGTGGAATTTGTATTTGACCTTTGTTGGACCCCTTTATTCTGCACCATCTCTTTTAGCTAGATATTTTTCATTTTTTTAGGCCTTTGTGCTTCATTCTTAGTGATTTTTAAAAGATTTACATTCTTTCATTCCTAAATCTCTCTTTAGTTTTGTCTAATGTGTGTTTAATCTGTTAATTAAATGATCAATTTTAGTGACTGCACTTTTCGTTTTAGATGTATCTGCTTTATCTTTAAAAAAAAAAAGCATAGGTGTCCACGCTTTCAATTCCTCATGTCTTAAAGATTTTTAAGTATCCTTACTTTATAGTATCTATCTGGTAACTCTATGGCCTGACTTTATGACTTTATTTTGTTTGGTGGCTCTCACTCATAATAGGCTGGTTCCTTGTATATTTTATTACTTTGAATTGTGAGGCCGTCTTAAGCCAGGCTTTATCAGTAGGAATCCTGTGCAGCCTGGCTTGAGGGTATGTCCTTCATGGTTTGTGTTTGCTTCTTTTGGATACTCTAGAATCATTGTCAGCCTGAGTACTTTTTTTTTTTTTGAGACGAAGTTTCACTCTTGTTGCCCGGGCTGGAGCACAATGGCGCAATCTCGGCTCACTGCAACCTCCGCCTCCCGGGTTCAAGCGATTCTCCTGCCTCAGCCTCCTGAGTAGCTGGGATTACAGGCGCCCGCCACCACACCTGGCTAATTTTTCTATATTTAGTAGAGACGGGGTTTCACCATGTTGACCAGGCTAGTCTTGAACTTCTGACCTCAGGTGATCCACCCACCTCAGCCTCCCGAAGTCCTGGGATTACAGGTGTGAGCCACCAGGGGATACTCTAGAATCATTGTTAGCCTGAGTACTTTGTATGTTAACTTTCAGGTTGAGGAATTTCTGAACCATGTAGGTGGTGTAAATTCAAAGCCATAACAAGTGTGAGGATAGATGTATGGTTATGGATTCTCAGGGGTGATGCCCTCTGCCTCCCTAGGAAGAGAAAGATGTCTTGTGTTCTTATGCTAGTGGATGCTTTTTTTTTTTTTCCTATGCTTTTACTAATATTATGGCTCTCTAAGAGTTTGACTTGGTACAAGAGAAGGGAGACTCAGGTCTTAGGCCAAATCTCCTGTACCCAAATGGCTGTGAAAACTGAAGCACCTTGGCTAGCTCACCACAACCACCACAGGCATTCCCAGGATCAGCTCATATTACCTCTCAGGGTCTTAGTTCATCCCCAACTGCCACCCCGGAGATATCCTTTACTGTTATGAGAGCTCAGCTATATATAAGAATATATATTTACTATATCTTGTCTTTCATTTCTGGGTGTTTTGAGGTAGGAGGCGTTTTAGATTATCTAGTTGAGAATGTTAATGGTAATAGAACATTTCATTTAAAAATAGCGCCCCTTCTTTTTTTTGTTCAGCTGTCCTTGTCGTTGTTTGGATCATTTCTTCATCGGACTATTTTGCTTACCACAGACAGTTCTTGCTTATCTCTGTCTTTCCTGTGTCTGGCATTGAGAAGGAATCAGATGACGAATGAATGAATGATTCCATGGATGAATGGGTGAGTGAGAACCACTGCCCTCATGTCAGTAGGCATCGCGAAGATAGAGCACGGCCAGAGAGCCCAGGCCTCTGTCGGGAAGGTGGATTGGGGCAGTGTTATGCTTGAGCTAGCTTGCAGCAGACAGCCATTTGTTAGCACACCTTCCCAACTCCATGTTCATCATCTCATATTTGTAGCTTGAAATTTGCCATGGTGGGATTATTTTTCACTCTGTGAAACTGGAAAACACTACAAATCACCCCCTTCAGAGCTGGTCGTTAAACATTTACCTGCACTTCACTGACTTGGGGTCATGAAAACGTGTAGAAAAAGTGAAACAAAACCAGGCAAGGTAGAACAAAGCCTTTGGTAAGTGAAATAAAAAGTCCAAGTTGAAGGAATTTATCAGTCTGAGACAGTGACAGGGTTTAAAGTTGCTACTGGCTTTTTCACAGATTTAGGGAGGCTCAGTATCCTGAGATTTAGGATTGGAGAAGGGTGCTGAATCTTCAACACCAGCTCCAGAGGGTAAAAATAAGAACACAGCAGGGGGCACCTGGATTTGAACCAGGGACCTCTTGATCTGCAGTCAAATGCTCTACCCCTGAGCTATACCCCCTGATGGAAGTGTAAGCCTAAGCAAGACCTTTTAACTGTGCAGTCATGCCCAACATTCCTATAAAATTTTACCACAGATGCTCATTCCAGCTGGGCCTCCTCAAAGCTGCCAAACCTCCCTAACTGCAATTTTATCTCCCTGATGCAAAACAAGTGACAGTTCCTCTTCCTGTAGCAGCTTCCTTGTACTTTCAGGAAGAGGACTGACACCGGCATTTATAGCTGGAAGGGCCTTCAGAGTCACTCATCTGTGCCCTTCGTAGTGCACGTTTGACAACAGAGATTCAACATTAATGTTCTTCCCAGGCACACACACTCCTTATTGACAGATTCAGTCTACTCTTTCTGACTTTGGGTTCAGGACCCTGTTACTAAAAGAGACTCTCTTATCTTCTCTTGTCCTTGTCTTCTATTGGCTCAAAATGGTAAAGACTTTATAGACAGAGCCATATGAATAGATTTATATACATCCAAGACCATGGAGGGGGCTAGAATATGGACTTAGAAGAGCAGGAATGTGCTACATGGGAAGCACTTTCTGCAAGGAAAAGCTAATGGGGAACTCCAAGATTTGAACTCGTGCATGAACTGGACCCCTGGAGCCAGTCCTCACACTCCATGCCCCAGCCCCAGGGATCAGCCAGAGCAGATGGCGGGCACCAGAATTTAAACCACGGACCATAGCAAGCTGCTTGTCCTCTGACTATGCTGTAGTTCAGTGGCTCCTTATTTTGGAGGGGCATAGGATACAGAGAGCTGAGGCTTAGGGAATGGAACTGGCAGGAGATGGGGGCATTCCAGAGGACGAGTGAGTACAGGAGGAACTGGGCTGAAGGAGAGCAGACCTGGCTAGGCACTAGGAGTGCGGATGCTACCTCTGCAGGTGGCATACAGGGGCAGTCCCGCTGAGGGCAGGCTGGGTTCACTCCTAGGTGTCTGGTTTGGGGATTTGGAGAGTTAGCAGTGCCAATCACTGACGCAGCACTTAGGGGGAAGAAGAGGAGGGGGAGGGGACAAGGGAGGAAGGAGAGGAGGAGAGGGAGGAGGGGAAGAGAGAAGTAGAGGAGAGGGAAAGAATAGGGAAGAGGAAGAGGAGGGAGAGAAAGGGGGGGAAGGAGAGGAGAGGGAAGGAGTAAGAGGAAAGGGAGAAGACAGGAGGGAGGAGGAGGCGGAGTTTGAGTGTGGACTTCCTGAGTGTGACTTTTCTGCAAGAACTGTGGAATGAGAAGAAGAGGGTTTTGTTTTACACAGGCAGAGGAAAGAGTGGCCAGCCAGGCGGGAGGATGAGGGGGAAGGAGCAGTGTCCTGAAAGCAAAGGGAGGAGAAGAGAGTTCTATGAAGGGGGAGGAAGGGGACAATAATAATTTTAAAAAACAATAATAATAGGCCAGGCACAGTGGCTCATGCCTGTAATCCCAGCACTTTGGGAGGCCAAGGTGGGTGGGTCACCTGAGATCAGGAATTCAAGACCAGCCTGGCCAACATGGCAAAACCCTGTCTCTACTAAAAATACAAAAATGAGCTGGGCATGGTGGTGCATGCCTGTAATCCCAGCTACTTGGGAGGCTGAGGCAGGAGAATTGCTTAAACCCAGGAGGCAGAGTTTGCAGTGAGCCGAGACCATGCTACTGCACTCCAGCCTGGGCGACAGATGAAGACTCCATCTCAAAAAAAAAAAAAAAGAAAAAACTAATAATACCTGTTACGCAATGCATATTCTGTGCCAGGCATTGGTCTAAGTGTTTATATATATTTATTGGCAACTGAGTATTATCATTGGAAGGCAGTTTTGATAGAAGAGAGGTAGCATGTGGGCAGGGAAGACAGCTGGCCTCGAGCTGAGGAATGAATGGAATTGACAGAGTTGTGAAGACAGAGCTGGGTGAGGAGACTTTTCTTCCAGGAGCTTGGATAGTAACCGTTTTGGCTCACTGGCCCAGATGGCCTCTGTCATGACTGCTCAGCTCTGCTGTTGTTTGAGAACAGCTATAGACAATAAGTAAATGAATGAGTGTGGCTGCATTTCAGTAAAACTTTATTTACAAAAACAGGAAGCAGACAGGATTTGGCTGTGGGCTATCTTTTCCTGACCTCTGAAATAGACCTCACCTTGATGAAGAAATGCGTGGGCTGGGCGCAGTGGCTCAAGCCTGTCATCCCATCACTTTGGAGGGTCAAGGCAGGATTGCTTGAGGCCAGGAGTTTGAGACCAGCCTAGGCAATGTAGCAAGACCCCACCTCTACAAAAATAAAGATGAAAAATTTAGCCTGGCATGGTGGTATGCACCTGTAGTCCTAGCTACTTGGGAGGCTGAGGCAGGAGGATCGCTTGAGCCCAGGAGTTCGAGGCTGTAGTGAGCCGTGATTGCACCACTGTACTCCAGCCTGGGTGGCAGAGCGAGACCCTGTCTCTAAACAAAATTAAAAATTAAAATAAATAAATAAAAAGAGTGCCTGGGAAAGGAAAGAGAAAAAGGGACACAGGTTAAAGAAAGGGTACGTGTCTATTTGAGAAAAAGAGGGGAAAAAAATCACAAAGAGTTAAATCCCAGTAGAGGACTGAGCAGGGCAAAGTCCCAGAGCCCTTGCTGGGGGTGGGCAGTGGTCAGGACCAGAAGATTGCTTGGGGCTCTGTCTTCATCCAAACTCATGCAGCCCAGCAGCAGATGAGGTGGTGATGTCGCATCACTGTGCCAGCCCCAGCCTCTTAGCATCACAGTAGACTAAGTCAAGTTTATTCACCTCTGCACTGAGGGAGAGTGTGCACCAAGGAACCCTGGGGGGCTTCATCAAACAAAGGAACAGGTAGGCTTTTGGGCAAGGCTGGAGGCTTGGGGAGATTTCAGTGAAGCGGGCTCTAAGCAAAGCAAGGCTGTGGCCTTGGCTGTGGAGATGGGCCTTGGGTGTGGGCTGCACCATGGGCCTGGGAAATAGACATGAGATGCTGTGTCCAGAAGCCTCTTATCTGAAGTTTTGTACATGAGTCAGAAGTTGAGGCTGCTTCTCTGCCTCAAAGCAACTTGTGTCCTTCAGGCAAAAGTATACTGTTTCAGCTCTAGAGGTTGGAAAAGGAAAGGAAACAATTCTCCTCTGGAGCCTTTGGAGGGAGTATGTCCCCACTGACACCTTGATTTCGGACCACTGAAATAGATTTTGGATTCCAGGTCTCCAGAACTGTATGAGAATAAATTTGAGCTGTATTAATTTAAACAATTTTTAAGTGGGCTGTTTCTTTCTTCCTGATAATATTTCAAAGTTTCTGACAGTCTATGATTTTAGAGAACAAGGTTTCTCAGCAAATAAGAAAATAGTAATCTCTCAAAGAAGGAGACTGTCATGACGTTTTAGAGCTGTGCTATGCCCGGGAGAGATGGTCTTTCCTGTTGACTTTATAGCTGTCTTTAGTCCCACCCGGTGTTATCTGAGCAATTTTTATTCTCTCTCTTAGCTCAGTTTTACTTTGTCAGCCACCTTTTTGTGAATAAAAATAGCAAGTAAACAAGGTGGATGTGACTTTGAACCAGAGATCTCTGGATCTGCAGCTGAATGCTGCCCCAAGCGTATTAACATACTTAATTGGCACCTTTTAGCTCTTGGCACCACATCCAAGACTCCGCTGCTGGTTCTGCATGTCCCAGCAGAGGGCAGGCCTTCCATGTAGGGATGTTCAAGTCCTACCCCCAGTACCTGTGAGTGTGACCTAGTTAGAATGAGGGTCTTTGCAGATGTAATCAAGTTGAGTCACACTGGATTAAGTGGGCTTTAATAAGACTAACATCCTTATAGGAAGAGGAGGAGCGGCTGGGTGCGCTGGCTCATGCCTGTAATCCCAGCACTTTGGGAGGCCAAGGCAGGCGGATCACCTGAGGTCAGGAATTCTACACCAGCCTGACCAACATGGTGAAACCCTGTCTGTAGTAAAAATACAAAAATTAACCGAGCATGGTGGCGCATGCCTGTAATCCCAGCTACTCAGGGGGCTGAGGCAGGAGAATCACTGGAACCTGGGTGGCAGAGGTTGCAGTGAGCTGAGACCACGCTGCTGCACCACTCCAGCCTGGGCGACAGATCAAGACTCTGTCTCAAAAAAAAAAAAAACAAAAAAGCCAAAGTCAAAGTCATCCATGTTTTTCTAGAACTGCCCTGGAAAGGGATCCTCTACTGCAGGGACACAGATGTGCAGTCAGCGTCAGGGGAAGCATTATTATGGGGCAGGGGACTCTCTAGCAACGCCCCCAGCCCTCTACCCTCCTCCAGCCCCCTCCCCCTCATCACTTACTCTCACAGGAAGCAGTGCTTGACCTCGCCTTCTATGTCAGAAAAAATAAGGAGCCACTTGGCCTGACCTCCTTCATTTCTTTAACTAACATTTCAGTGTATGTCATGCTCCAGACATTGTGCTAGATGCTGGGATACAGCAATGACCAGATTAAACTGGTTTTGGCCTCCGCTCCCTCAACATCTCACACCATCAAAAGACTCCCTGTCTTTCCCCATCCACACTCCATCTTCCCTCCGCTCTACTGTCCTTTCTTTCTTAAAGGTCACCCCTCTGTCATGCTGTTGCTTCTATGCACACCAGCTCCTGACTTTAGCTCCTGGTTCAGCAAACCTCCTCCTAGCTCTCTCTCCTCTATCTTCAATGCCTCTCTCTCCATAGAAATGTGCTAAGGCAGATTCATCTCACGCAAGGAATGAACTGTGCTGCAAGTAACACAATTAACCTGAGGGTAGCGGAACCCAAAAGGGAGAATTTATTGTCACAACCAGTAATATCTCATGGAAAGTTTGGGCAGAAATGCAGCCTCCATTTCTCTGACTGTAGCGCAGAGACATGGTTGGCAGGGGCCAAGAGTGGATGCTACTATATTCCAGGAATAGCAAAAGTTATTATAAATGCGTTTTCCCCAAGAAGATGATAAATCAGGTGTGAAGTTAATGATAGAGATCAAGTTGAGAGAGAGACAGAGCAAACCAGTGGTTGTTGCATTTCAGATGTACAGTGCAGCAGAGCACTTATGATCTGTGTGTGCAGTAACAAATACTTTGCTTAATTCTGGATGAAATTATTGATGAGCAGAGTCTGAACCAGATGCAGGGAAAGTGCTTCTCAAATCTTTGTTCTGCTCATCACTGACAACCTCTGCTCTGGAGAAGATACTTTCCATGTGATTAATACTTATCTGATGAGGTATGTTGAAAAAGTGTGTGGGCATCAGTTTCACTAGGCCCAACTGGGTGCAGTCACCAAGGGCAGTGCCACACGGAAGAGCCTGCTCCTAAACATTAATCCACCCACTGCTTCATTTGCAGATAAAATATGTTTCTTGATCACTGTGGAAGGAAATAGGGAAAACTAGCACTGACAAAATGGCAGCCTAGGCTGCCATTGTTGGACCTAGGCATCCCTGTGGTCTCAACATATGTGGTCTCAACAACAACATATGTTGTTTTAGCCTCCTGGCCAAAGCAACAGGGCAAGAGTACAGGATTCTGCTTTTTGATGTGTGCTGGCCACTAGTGATGGCAGCAGTGGCCCGTCTGGAGCGGCTGCTACAAAGACGCCAGCTGCAGTGGGGTAGGCGCATCCCAGGCGCACACTCTGCAGAGCCTGTTGGGGGGCCAGGAACAGGTGGGAGCCCTGCCTCCTACTGAGTTGACGGGGTGGGAGCCCCACCCTCCCAGGTACAGGTGCAGCCACCCAGCCACGGCTCTGGACCTAGGCATCCCTGCAGTCTCAGGGGCCCTGGAAATGCCATGTACCCTCAGGCTTGAAAGAGCTGCCTGCCCCCACTCCCAGGCCTCTCCCAACTCCCAGGCCTCTCCTGACTCCCAGTGCCTGCTGCTCCAGTGCAGAGCAAAGTTGTGACTGAGCCTGGGTGCTGTCATGACCTGGCCAGGTGTGTATGCATGCACTTGGGGTGGTGCTGACACGCCAGGTCCTTGCCGCCTTGGCCCCCTCCAGACTTTGGGCACTGAGGAGCACACCACGGGGACTGGGGGCGGCTCATTGTGGGCCTGTCAGGTGCCCTTGGCATGAACAGCCTGGGTGCCATGGATGGCATGTCAATGGCAGGAGGCAGACAGGCTTTTGGGTAGAAAGGGGCAGGTCCTCACCCACCTTCAAGCCAGGGATGGCCTGAAGCCAGGCTGTCGGTTCCGGGTGCAGCACTCGGCAGGGAGTGAGAACTTACGGTGCTTTCCTGGGCCGCCCATGGCCACCCATGGACCAGTCAGCACATACTTCCTCCCTTCTGAGCCCATGAAAACCCTGGACTCAGCCAGACTTAGACAGATGGCTGGACTACCAGCTACAGGAAGGAGCTATGCCCTTCGGGTCTTCATTGAGCTGTTCTCTCGCTCAATGAAGCTCCTCTTCACCTTGCTCACCCTCCAGTTGTCCATGTACCTCAATCTTCCTGGACATGGGACAAGAACTGGGGACCCACTGAATGGCAGGACTGAAAGAGCTGTGACATAAACAGGGCTGAAACATGCCTTCCAGCTCACCAGGTTGCAGGCAACAGGAGAGAAGAGCAGTGGCCCTTAAGGGAGCTCAGACCTAGGGGCTCCCAGAGCCAGGGCTGTAACACCCTTTTTGGGGCTCTGTGGCTTATGGCATCTCCAAGCTTTTGGGTGCCATGGCGTCTCCCCTGTCCAGACCTCAGTGCCCACAGTGGAAGCTGCTTGCCTTATGTCTGGTCCAGCCATAGCCTTGCATGGAACCAGAGCTGGTGCCAGTGCTGGTGCCTGGAGCTGCCCACTACCACAGCAGCTGGCATGCCTGGCTGTGCACAGTGGCCAGACCCCACACTCACTTGCTCACCTACCCCTGGCCACTCTGCACCTGGATCGCCCTTGGAGGCATGGGATCTAGGACAGTAGTATGGACTGAGTGCAGCCTGCTGGGCCGAGTGGCCCGAGCCACGGGCCACAGAGGTTTCTGGTTAGGGAACTGGCACCAAAAAAATAAATCCTGTGTCACTAAGAGTGCTTTCACGAGTGTTAGAAATGAGAGAGGAGATGAAAACATTTCTTCAAAATGCTGATAAGGACCATTTCTGTGACATGGAGAGGCATGGTCAAGAGGAATATCTCAGGCATACATGTATTTTGAATACCCAGAATTTATCGCACCAGGGCTTCAGTACCATGCTTTGTTTGGTTAAGAAGACCTGTCTGTGGTGCACACAATTTGTTAGTTAAGTATCTAGCTTATTCTCTATGCTTGATGATTTTCTTCATCCATGGTATAGAAAGGAATCAATGGTGTATTACTGGGCATATTTTGAAACCACATTTGAATGCTACAATTGAGTCTAAAGAAATACCTCCCAGAGCCAAAGAGTGAACTAGAAATTCATACACTAGTGTCTCCCATGTTGGAATATTCACCTCTCTGGACTTAAGGACTTGTCACTGTATTATCCGAGTGAATGCTGAAAGCAGTCTTTAGTGAGATATTTAATTTCTGGGTTCATTTAATAGGAATATTCATGACTATCTGCCAGAGTCCCCAAACATTTGCTGCCATTCCTTCTGACCTTTAAGTTATGATTCTTGGCTGGGTGTGGTGGCTCACGCTTGTAATCCCAGCACTTTGGGAGGCCAAGACAGGTGGATCACTTGAGGTCAGGAGTTTGAGACCAGCCTGGACAACATGGTGAAACCCCGTCTCTACTAAAAATACAAAAATTAGCCAGGCATGGTGGTGCACCCCTGTAATCCCAGCTATTCAGGAGGCTGAGGCATGAGAATTACCTGAACCCTGGGAGGTGGAGGTTGCAGTGAGCCGAGATCATGCCACTGCACTCCAGCTTGGGCAACAGAGTGAGACCCTGTCTCCAAAATAAATAAAAAATAAAAGTTTAAAAAGTTATGATTCTTAAGTTTAGCAGAAATAAAGAATATGAAATGAAATCAACAGTTTTGGAAATTTAACCTATGGTTCAATCTAGCTGTCTTTAAGCCAGATAAAGATAATTTGGTGAAACACTACAAATGATATCTTGCCTCTAACGATTGAGAAACAATCATTACTCATTTTAAATATCATATTTTACTTTTTATTTTGATGAAGACAAATTGATTTATCTTTTTAAAAATATTTTGTGCCTTTTGTGTTGTTTAATTTTAAAAGTTTTTTCCCACATTTAGTTATGTAATTCACCCAGAATCTACCTTTCTATATGGTGAGGATTCTAAGGTTTTTTTTGTTGTGTTGTTGTTGTTTTAGTATGGAAAACTAGTTATTTCAATGCCATTTGTTGAACAATTCAGTATTTTCCCCACTAGTTTGTAATTCCACTTTAATCATATATAGGAGGACCGTATATTAATCATCCAACCTGAAACTTTTTTTTTTATTTTTTATTTTATTTTTTGTGATGGAGTCTCATTCTGTTTCCTAGGCTGGAGTGCAATGGTGCAATCTCGGCTCACTGCAACTTCTGCCTCCTGGGTTTAAGTGATTCTCCTGACTCAGCCTCCTGAGTAGCTTGGATTACAGGCACCCAGTATCATACCCAGCTAATTTTTGTATATTTAGTAGAGATGGGGTTTCACCATGTTGGCCAGGCTGGTCTTGAACTCCTGACCTCAAGTGACCCACCTGCCTCAGCCTCCCAAAGTGCTGAGATTATAGGCATGAGCCGCCAAACCCGACCCCAACCTGAAACTTTAAAGAATGAAAGGGAATGCTCTTCACATTTGTGCTGGGACAACAAGCATAAACTGGGACTGTCCCAAGTAAAGCAGGACATACATTCACCCTTTTCAAATACCAAGTTCCCACCTATGCACAGGGCACATTTTCTGTTCCATTTGTTTGTCTGTCTGTTGCTATGCTTCACCAGTTTAATTCCCTTTATAAGTCGCATCATCTGGTACAACAAGTCCTACCTTCTTGTTTTCATATCCGAAATTGTCATGGCAAGTCTTAAACTGCTGCTGTTCTTTATTTTATATTGTTTTTTCAAGTTCTACTAAAATCCTTTTTAACTTTTGCTTTAATTACATCAAACAAAATAATAAAATTGAAGAGGACTGACATCTTTATAATATTGAGTTCCTTATCTGTGAATATGGTATCATCTCCATTCATTCAGGTTTCTTTTATATCCTTCAGTAATATTTTATCATTTTGTCTGTAAAGAGCTTACACATATATTACTTTATTTTTAGTTACCTTATAGTTTTTGTTTTTGTTATTAGGAGTTTTACTGTAATTCATTATCTAGTTGATTACTGTGGGTTTATGAGGAATGATATTCATTGTTGTATTGGGGGAACCCATCCCCAATATTTCAACATAGGTTCTTTCTATTTTTCATAAGTGTTGGCTGGCTGAGAAATAAAGAGAGACAGTACAAAGAGAGGAATTTTACAGCTGGGCCACCGGGGGTGACATCACATATCAGTAGGACCGTGATATCTGCCTGAGTCTCAGACCAGCAAGTTTTTATTAAGGGTTTCAAAAGGGGAGGGGGTGTAAGAACAGGGAGTAGGTACAAAGATCACATGCTTCAAAGGGCAAAAAGCAGAACTACTGATAAGGGTCTATGTTCAGCGGTGCACATATTGTCTTGATAAACATCTTAAACAACAGAAAACAGGGCTCAACAGCAGAGAACCAGTCTGACCACAAATTTACCAGGGCAGAGTTTTTCCCCACCCTAGTAAGCCTGAGGGTGCTGCAGGAGACCGGGGCGTATCTCAGTCCTTATCTCAACCACATAAGACAGACATTCCCAGAGTGGCCGTTTATAGACCTCCCCCCAGGAATGCATTCTTTTCCCAGGGTATTAATATTAATATTCCTTGCTAGGAAAAGAATTTAGTGATATCTCTCCTACTTGCACGTCCATTTATAGGCTCTCTGCAAGAAGAAAAATGTGGCTCTTTTTGCCTGACCCCACAGGCAGTCAGACCTTACGGTTGTCTTTCCTTGTTCCCTAAAAATCACTGTTATTCTGTTCTTTTTCAAGGTGCACTGATTTCATATTGTTCAAACACACATGTTTTACAATCAATTTGTACAGTTAACACAATTTTCACAGTTGTCCTGAGGTGACGTACATCCTCAGCTTACGAAGCTAACAGGATTAAGAGATTAAAGTAAAGACAGGCATAAGAAATTATAAAAGTATTATTTGGGAACTGATAAATGTCCATGAAATCTTCCACAATTTATGTTCCTCTGCTGTGGCTCCAGCCAGTCCCTCTGTTTGGGATCCCTGACTTCCCGCAACATTGTAGGTCAATTTTGCACTCGGTAATCTTGCTGAACAATGTTGTTCTAATAATTTGTTTACATGTTAAGTGTTGGCAATCATAATATCTGTAAAAAGGGCAATTGGTCTCTTCAATCCTTATTCTTTCAATGTATCTTTCTTATTGTAGAGGTTAGGATGTCTAGTATGATGTTGAATAGTAAGAGTGATGGTGGGCATCCTTGTTTTTGAATTTAACAGGATAGCTTCTCATATATTATGTTTGCTATTGGTTCATGGTGAATTCTGCTTATCAGGTGAAGGAAATTTATTGATATTCTTAATTTGCTATGAGCTTTTTTTAAAAAATAAAACATGAATACATATTGATTGTTATCAAATCCTCATCTATTGATATCATATAATTATTCTCCTGTAATATATTAATGTGATGGATTACATTAACCAATTTCCTAGTGAAGAAACATCCTTGTATTCCTAGAATAAACCCTTCTTGATAATAAATTATTTCTAAAAAACGTTGTTAGGTTTAATTTGCTAATATTTATTAAGGATTTTTACATTTAATTTTGTAAGTGGAGTTTATCTGCATCTGTATCTGTATGTTCTTGCACAGTCTTTGTCTGACTTTGGAGATGATATTATACTAGCCTTATAAAATAAATTGGGTAGTTCTTTTCCTACCATCGGGGAGAGACAGGAATGATCTGTTTCTTGAAAGTGTGAACAAAAGTTCTCTGAAAAAGGACTTTGGAGGAAACAGATTTTATTCCAGGAACAGTTTGCAAACCAGGGAGGCACACCCTCTGATGTAAAATGAAGATGCCTTCCAGAGACCAAAAGGAAGGCTGAGTTTTACAGCAAAAGTTTCTACCCAGGTTCTCTATAAGGTCCGTTTATGCAAATGAAGGCTTGAAACTTGCATAGTTCTGATTGAGGCAGCTGAGTTTTGATTGGGCAATACACCATGACGCCCAGCTAATTTTTTGTATTTTTTGTAGATACAGGGTCCTGTTATGTTGCCCAGCTGAGTACTGATTGGTTGATACAGAGGAATTCTGTTTTGTCAATAGAGCTGAGCTTTGATTGGTTGATATGGCTCAGCCCTGAATGGCTGAGGCACATGAGCTCTGAAAGTCCCAAAGATAAAACGATGTGGGCTTTTGGCAGAAAAGCCACAAAGATAAAAAGATGTGGGCTTTGGGAGAAAAGTTAAGGGTTTTGCATGACCCCCTAGTCGGCAAATGGTGCCTTGGCTCCATGTTAAATTTAGTTCCAGTTAGCCACTCAGTATCTATCTTGAAGTTTGGCTGTTTCGGGTTCACATTTGATGTTTTTGTTTTGTTTCTTGTTGAGACAGGTCTCACTGTCACCCATGCTGAAGTGCAGTGGTGTGATCATGGCTTACTGTAGCCTCCACCTCTCAGGGTTCAAGCTATCCTCCTGCCTCAGCCTCCAGAGTAGCTGGGACCACAGTGTGCGCCATTATGCCCAGCTAAGTTTTTGTACTTTTAGTAGATACAGGGTCCCGTTATGTTGCCCAGACTGGTCTTCAACTCCTGGGCTCAAGCCATCCACCTCCATCAGCCTCCCAAAATGCAGGGATTACAGGTGTGAGCCACTGCACTCAGCCCAGGTTCACATTTGTTCACAAAAGTTTTGTAGAAATCATCTATAAAGCAATCTTTGTCCATTTTTAAATGAAATTTTTGATCATTTATTAAATTTATTTAAAAGATATACATTTCATCTGAGTACATAAGATGAAATTATGTAACAATTTATTTTATAGTTATACATATTTAATGGTTGTTATAAACTCATTTATAGCAGCTCATGATTTTTTGCATTTCTACAATATCTGTATTTGTATCCCTTTGCCTTTCTTCTTCTTCTTCTTTTTTTTTTTTTTTTTTTTTGAGACAGTCTTGCTCTGTCACCAGGCTAGAGTGCAATGGCACAATCTTGGCTCACTGCAACCTCCACCTCCTGGGTTCAAGCAATTCTCCTGCCTCAGCCTCTGGAGTAGCTGGCATTACAGGCACGCACCACCATGCCCAGCTAATTTTTTTTATTTTTAGTATAGACGAGGTTTCACCATGTTGGCCAGGATGGTCTCGATCTCTTGACCTCGTGATCCGCCTGCCTCAGCCTCCTAAAGTGCTAGGATTACAGGCATGAGCCACCACGCCCGGCCTCTTCTTGTTTTTTATTTGTATGTTCTTTTTCTTGAGCAGTTTTGCCCGAGCTTTGTCTGATTTATGATTTGTTTCAATAACTAACTCTTGGATTTGTCCTTCTCTGTTGTTTTGTATCTTGATTTGTATCTTTTTTTCTCCTTGTATCTTCTAAGTTTCCTTCCTAGTATTTTTAGGCTTTATTGTTATTTTTCTATAATCTTATATTGAATGATCAGCTCATTAATATTCTTTCATCTTCAAACATATCTATTTGATTGCTGCATTAAAGAAATCTTTCATATACAGTATTTTGTTGTGTTTATATTGTCATTTTTTGGTAGTGTGTTTCTGAACATATGTGGCATTTTTATATTATTAGAGTTTCCTGATGTTTCTGCATTGTGGTCATACAATTGTGATTCCTTAGATTTTTTATTTTTTTTGAGATAGGGTATTACTCTGCTGCCCAGGCAGGGTGCAAGCACGGCTCACTGCAGCCTGGAACTCCTAGGCTCAAGTGATCCTCCCTCTTCAGCCTCCCAAGTAGCTGGGACTACAGGTACGTGCCACCAAGCCCAACTAGTTTTTGTGTTTTTGTTGTGGGTCTTGCCATGTTGCCCAGGCTGGTCTCAAACTCCTGGAGTCGAGTGATCCTCCTGCCGTGGCCTCCCAAAGTGCTGAGATTGATTACAGGGTTGCACTACTGTGCCTGGCAGAATTTTTTAAAGACTTATTTTCTATCTTAGTATTTGCTCAGTTTTTGTAAATATTCTGTGAGTGCTTTAACAGTATATTTGCTGTATTTGTTGATTGTAGTTCTCTCTCTCTCATCTTTCTTGTCCTCTAGAGAGGGCAAGAGAGATTTTAACGTATTTATACATATATATTCTTGGTAATTTGATTATTTTTAAAAATATCCTTTAGCCTTACTTATATTTTCACCTATTTGATCTGTTTCTGACAGAGTTGTATAGAAATCTCTGATTAGGGATTTATAATGTTTTGGCATAATTTTGTCAATTTTTGCTTTAGATAGTTCAAGACTTGGCATGATTGTCATACCTTGAAGGACTTTTTTTCTTTTATTATAATGTAAAATCTCTGTTTCCATTAATGATTTTTTTTCTATAAATTTTTATTTCTCATATAAATATTCTGATACCTTTTCTTGGTCAGTCATTTTCAGTTACTTTATTTTTAACCTTTATTTTTATATTTTGAGAAAATCTCTTATGAATGTCTAGCCGTGGATATATTTGAGTTTAATTCATCTTTTTTTGTGATTACTAATAGATTTAAACTTGTTCCTATCATTTTGCCTTTTTCATTTTCTTCTTTTTTCCTTCTTCTACCTTCTATACCTTCTTCTTCATCCTTCTTTCTATTTTGTTTTGGATTACTTGAAGAAAAATCTACTCCCATCCCTACTGGTTTGTAAGTTATGTATTTTTATTTTATTTTATTTTATTTTATTTTATTTTTTTAGTGGTTGCCCAGTACTTTTTAATGTGTATACTTAACCTTTCTTTCTTCTTTCTTTCTTTCCTTTTTCTTTCTTCCTTCCTTCCTTCCTTTCTTTCTTCTTTCTTTCTTTCTTTTTTTAGAGTGAGTTTCGCTCCCATTGCCCAGGCTGGAGTGCAATGACCTGATCTCAGCTCATCGCAACCTCTGCCTCCCAGGTTCAAGTGATTCTCCTACCTCAGCCTCCCGAGCAGCTGGGATTACAGGCATGCACCACCACGCCCAGCTAATTTTGTATTTTTAGTAGAGATGGGGTTTCTCCATGTTGGTCAGGCTGGTTTAGAACTCCTGACCTCAGGTGATCCACCCGCCTCGGCCTCCCAAAGTGCTGGGATTACAGGCGTGAGCCACCTCACCCAGCCCAATTTTTCTAATAATATATTTTCTCACTTGTAAACTAAGATAGGGAATTTGGAGTATTTTAACTTCTCTCAGAACTCTCATATTTGTTGTATTATTACCTGGAATACTACACCCCTTCACCACCACATGTTTTTAAACCCCAAGAAACTGTAGTTATTTATCATTTTTATACATAACATTTATGTTTAAATTTATCTACATATTTATCTCTTTCTTTGTTTACTGTTTATTCATCCATTTATTCAACAAATACTTTTGATTGGTGAGTAAGCACCCAGCACATAGAACAAGACAGATGAAGTGTCTGCCTTCATGGGGCCTCCATCATAGGGAGGGTGAGGATCATTAACAAAAATCGGCATTACTCTAATGCAGACCTAATAAGGACTGTTACGAAAACTGAGCGAGGGAATAACAAGTGATGGGGGGATGGGCGCGGTGGCTCACGCCTGTAATCCCAGCGCCGGAGCTGGTGGGGGCTGTGACAGCGGCTCCGAAGTGGACAGGTGGCTCCCCAGGGTGCGGAGGCGAGGGCGGGCTGGGGCCGCACGGGGCCGGCCGTCGCAGAGCTGAGTGGCGGTGCCTGGGGCCCGGCTCACGGAGAAGGTGCCTGTGCCTCGGTGGGCGGCGGCGGGAGCGCCCAGGACTGCGCGCGGCTGGAGATGCCTGCGGGCTTCGCGAGGAAGGACTTAGTGACCGAGGGCCCCTTCCGCCGAGGCCAGGGGAGGCTGCGGCGGCGCGGGGTGCCCCCGGCTTCCCCTTCGCTCTCCCTGGCTGCTCCTTCAGGGAGGCTCCGCTCTAATACACGCGCCTAGGTGGTGTGCATCCCGAACGGCTTTATTTCTCCCGCACGTTTGGCTGTCGGTTTACCTGGGTTCAGAATTCTAAGTCGGAGGTTATTTTTCTTCAGCCCTCAAAAAGCATTTCCTAACAGTACAGTGTCAGTAACACAACTTTATTATTCAATTCTCATCTCATCAAAGCATCATGACATTATTTTATTTTGAAATGACATGGTTCGAGGGCCCTGACAGCCAAAAGGATATGTCTACCAGGCCTTAAACTTTTTTTTTTTTAACTAACACACACACAGTAAAGGAAGAATTAATTAATTAATTAATTTATTTATTTATTTATTTATTTATTTTTGAGACGGCGTCTTCCTCTGTCTCCCAGGCTGGAGTGCAGTGGCGTGATCTTAGCTCACTGCAACCTCTGCCCTCCGGGTGCAAGTGATTCTCTTGCCTCAGCCTCCCGAGTAGTTGGGATTACAGGCGCCGGCCACCACTCCCGGCTACTTTTTTGTATTTTTAGTACAGACGGGGTTTCACCATTTTGGCCAGGCTGGTCTCGAACTCCTGACCTCAGATGATCCACCCGCCTCGGCCTCCCAAAATGCTGGAATTACAGGCGTAAACCACCACGTCCAGCCAAAATTACATAATTTAAAAACGAGAAAATATACATTTTGAACAATCCTTCTTGAGGAGGGAAATGTTACAAGTAAAGGAAGTAAATAAAAATAAAATAATAAAAATGCAATTAAAAATGAAAAATAAAAACAAAACAAAAAAATTCTTAGTAATTGTGACCATCCTGGATTGAATCTGAGAATATTAATTTTTTTAAACTATGTATAACAGTGCATGTATTAGATTTGAGGTCGTGGAATTTGAGTTATGGTTAGAGTTTTTTTCTAAAACTTTTTTTCCTACTAAAATACGGTAGTGTTGTATCATTTTATTTTACTCTATTTTATTTTGTTTATGTGAAGATTTTACTTAACTATACAACTTTTTAAAATAAGAATATTTTCCTAATAAAAAGAAAGCAATTTTTAAAAAAGTATAAACCCACAGGACAAAAAGCAGATGGGCGAGCGATAACTGATTTCACACAGAAGAAAGAAAAGGCGGCGACTGCAAGAGCCTGCGGAGGAATCATCCTACCGGGGGGAAACAGCCCCTAGGGGAAATGAGGGCAGAAGGCGTGGGTGTGAGGGATGCAGCCAGCAGATCCTCGCGGGCTCAGTGGGAATGAACAAGGATCTCTGTACACTGTAGGACACCCGAGCATTGCAACACCATGAAATAATGCCAGCTGGAAAACTTTGTGGCCCATGGGGATATAGCTCAGGGGTAGAGCATTTGACTGCAGATCAAGAGGTCCCCGGTTCAAATCCGGGTGCCCCCCCGCTGGTTTTCTTTCTGCTTCAGAATACTCTATGAACTCGACTATTCTGAGGCCACTCAAGTCACCATCAGACCGCGTATTAGGTGAGTTTTTCAGGTGGCTAATTTCACCCAAGTGGCTTGTGGACTGGTAGGGGAAGAGGAAGGAAAAGGAGCGAAGGAGGCTCCAAGGTAATCTGGCTCAGGAAGTGGCTGTGGGAGGCTTTCATCATGACCCAGGGTGGCCATTTGTGCTTTGGGAGCTCTCGTTTACTGTTTATCTTTCCAAGGGAGAAGCATAGGCAGGAAGTCGGGGGAGCAGGCTGAATGACTGCACCAGACTGCACTGACGGCACCAGAACCACCTGGGCGCTGCTCCTGCACAGTGTACCTGGACCTCAGCGCGAGGCTCCGATGTGTAGGTCTGAGGAGAGCACTGGATATTTTGTTTTAAAAACAACGCGTACCTCCAGTCTTCCTCCTGCCTCCTCCCACCCAGCACACACTAGATGATTCTGACAGGGACATTTCGGGGAAAACTATGCTGGATGGTTCTAAAGGACATTTCACGCAAACTGGCCTGATTATCAAAGCTGATGTCCTCTGCAGGGGACTGAGAGCCACAGGCGCAGACAGCTGCCTGGTGGGCAGAGGACGGAGAGGGTGGGAAGGAGACTGGTAGGAAAGGTGTGTCTGTCTGCCATGGAGACCTCCTAGGTTTCATGGAAGACCACAAAAACGTTGGTGACTTACTGTGTGAGAGCTCTGAATATCACTACTGGGTGAAAAGGTGGTCGTCAGAGAACAACAATGGCTCATAGGTCAATCATTTGAATACAGATCACATGGTCTTTGATTCATAATCCAGGTAGCCCCAACGTGCTGTCATTTTTTTAATTAAGATTTTATTTTTCAGAGCAGTTTTAGGTTTACAGAAAAAGGTACAGAAAGTACAGAAAGCATAAAGTACAGACAGTTCCCTCCACCCATTTCCCCTTCATTAACATCTTGGATTAGTGTGGTATTTGTTAAAATTAAGGAATGAATATTGATACATTATCATTACCTGACATCTATAGTTTACATCACGGTTCACTCTTTGCACTGCACAGTTTTATGGGTTTTGACAAATGCATAACGTCTTGTATCCACTATTACAGTATCATACAGAAGTGCTTCCCTGCCCTGAAACCCCCCACCCCATGCCCTGCCTGTTCATCTCTCCCTCCCTACAAACCCCCGGCAACCACTGACCTTTTCACTATCTCTGTCTTCTGCCTTTTCCAGAGTATTTAGAGTTGGAATTATACACTATGTGGCCTTTTGGGATTGGCTTCTTTCACTTAACAATAAGCATTTAAGGTCTTTCTATGTCTTTTTTGTGGCTTGGTAGTTCATTTCTTCTTATTGCTAAATACTATTCCACTCTGTGGACTTCCTGTCATTCTTACTCAGGCTTGGAGTTAGCATTCTAGCTAGACTGCATCTTCCTGCAAAGAGAGAGACAAGAAGCAGATGAGGCCTTTGCCAGAAAACCACCCCAGGCTCTGGCAGCCTCAAGCAATTTCCACGATTTTTTATTCTGGCATAGGCTCAGTCCCACTTACGTTGCTTGTGGAAGGTATTTGTAGTTGTCTTTTTTACACCCCCAACATTTGAAACTCTTTTCTATGTTTGGGGCAAATCCAAATCTATATGTGACTCTGAGTAGAAACCAGGACCTAACTACACTACAAAAGCCAAAAGCACCAGATGTTTTTCTTCCCATAGGCCCTAGAAGTGCCCTAAGCCTGCCCAGTCACATGTACATGTGAGACTTGGAATGTGGAATGAGGTACATGGAAGCAGGAAGAGTTTGGAACGCACTCCAGGGAATGCGGAGCTCTGTCATTGGCAGCGGGGCTGGTGGCTGCAGCCAGCTTTCAGTGGGGGTACTATCAGCTCCCTAACCAGGACGTTGTGTGGGGGTAAATTATTCTGACCCCTTGGCTGCCTTTTAGTCCTAGGCATTTTCTGAGTGTAGATCTCTAGGCTTCTTTTAGTGCTATGAGATTTTTTCCCGACATCCTGCCAATAATTGCCTTATTTGATTCAAGTAGCCATTGCCAGTTTCTATTTTTGAGACAGAATGCTGAGAGTATGAAAACTAGTACTAGGAGTGGGGTGAAGAAAGTAAGAGGAATATGACACTGGATACCTGCTTTTATTGGGACCAAAAGCAGTGAGCATCTGGCTAGTTATTCAGGAATTAGAACCTGACAGTCATTGATACACAGTAACAAAATAGGTGATCTGAATATCACGAGTCACTTGGAATGAAGTGCCCACGGGGGCACTTTGGTTTTGGTGTACTAAGTTACTGTAGAACTGCATGAAGCACTGTGGAGTAGGGCGGCTAAATCTCTTGGTATTTGCAATGGTCTGCATGTGTCTCCCAAAATTCATGTACTGGAAACTTAATCCCCAATGCAACAGTGTGGGAGGTGGGGCCTAATGGGAGGTGTTTAGGTCATGAGGCCTCTGCCCTCATGAATGGATGAATGTTGCTATTTTAAAAAAGCTTGCATTGGCTAGGTACAGTGGCTCATGCTTGTAATGCCAGCATTTGAAGCCACTTACTATGTGGGTTCTAGATTGACTGATGCGAACCATCCATGAGTTAACCTAACAATGCCATAGGCTGGACACCCTAACTCATATCCAGTAGTTCAACAATGTATAGCCAATCACTAATCAATGTTATTTCTGTAAACCAATGAGAATTCCTGTCAAACAATTTTTTTTTTATCAGCCCACTCCTTATTTCCTTCACCTTTAAAAACCTGCTTGTTCGGTGGCTCACGCCTGAAATCCCAGCACTTTGGGAGGCCGAGGCGGGCAGATCACCTGAGAGCGGGGGTTCGAGACCAGCCTGACCAACATGGAGAAAACCCATCTCAACTAAAATACAAAATTATCCGGGCATGTTGGCATATGCCTGTCATCCCAGCTACTCGGGAGACTGAGGCAGGAGAATCACTTGAACCCGGGAGGCGGAGGTTGTGGTGAGCTGAGATTGCACCATTGCACTCCAGCCTGGGCAACAAGAACGAAACTCCGTCTCAAAAAAAAGAAACAAAACACCTGCTTATTACAAAGGCCTAATGGAGCATATCCCAAGGCAACTTGGAAGCACTTCCCGGACAGCTGTGCTCGCTTTGGCTCAAGTAAACTTAATATTATATTTTGTGACTCAGCTTATTTCTCTAGGTCAACAAGTCCTTAGAAATGAAAAAAGAAAAAGGGGCAACCTGCATGGTTACCTGGAGTCCCCCTCATCCTGGTCCTGCCACTAGAATCCTACTTGTAGATAATCCCAGGTATGGTGAATAGAGGTTGGACAAGAGCCAACAAGGTGGAGCATCTTTGCCTCTGACCAAATTGCCTAAACTGAGTTCATTCCCAGACTTAATTTTCCTGGAATAAAGAGGATCTTGGGTAAACTTGAGGGAGTCCTTGTGTCTTCAGACTGCTGTAACAAAAATCCCATAGAATGAGTGGCTTAAACGATAGGACTTTATTTATTCCTCACAGTTGTGATGGGTGGGAAGTTCAAGATCAAGGTGTTGGAGGCATTCAAATCAGAGTGACTCCATCTTGAATAAGGGCTGGGTAAAATGAGGCTGAGACCTGCTGAGCTGCAATCCCAGGAGGCTGGGCATTCTTAGTCACAAGATGAGATAGGAGGTCGACAGAAGATATAGGTCATAAAGACCCTGCTGATAGAACAGGATGTAGTCAAGAAGCTGGCCAAAACCCACCAAAACCAAAATGGCGATGAAAGTGACCTTTGGTGGTCCTCACTGCTTACTGTATGTTAATCATGCATTAGCATGCTAAAAGACACTCCCACCAGCACCATGACAGTTTACAAATGCCATGGCAATGTTGGAAGATACCCTATATGGTCCCCCTTGGTAAGGCCCCTCTTGGTTGAGAATGAATTTAGTCTGGGCATGGTGGCTCATACCTGTAATACCAGCACTTTGGGAGGGTGAGGTAGGCGGATTTCTTGAGACCAGGAGCTTGAGACCAGCCCGGGAAATATAGTGAAACCCCATCTCTACCAAAAAAAATGTTAGCCAGGTGTGGTGGTGCATGCCTGTGGTCTCAGCTACTTGGGAGGCTGAGGTGGGAGAATTATCTGAGCTTGAGAAGTTGAGGCTGCAGTAAGATGTAGTTGCACCACTTGCACGCCATCCTGGGTGACAGAGTGAGACCCTGTCTCAAAAATAAAGAATGGATTTGGCTCTACAGGATGTTAATTGCTATTCTCTTTGGATTAATTCACCTTGCACTCTCTGCTGACAGCTGTGGGTGACAGGACTGAGCACATGCAGGATCACGAGACATGGGGAGCTTTTTTCTCCTGAAAGGGGGAAACTTGAGAGCTGATGGAACTACTGGAAAATATTCCTTCATGACTGATAAGCAGCTTCCTGAACTTTTGATTCAGTATAGCTGCGATGAGTGGGTCTTTCTCTAGCCTTCCTGAGCTCCTCACCTCCCCTGCCTCACTGCAAGCAGCACTTTCTTCCTTTCCCTTTCCTCCCTCTCTCTGTTTCACCTTTCCCTTTTCTATCTTTTCTTTCACTCAGGGCGACTGTCTGCTGTTCCATCTTGCCCAGAGACCCACGTTGAAACTCCTAGTAAGAGATCATTCCACTCCACTTTGAGTGGATCAAAGACAACATGGACCAATGGGGGCAAGTTTGAGCCTTGCTAGGTTGATTTTGGGCACTGAGCAGGGTGGCTAGTGTCTGTTTTGTCACACATATTTTGCTCCAGCTGGAAAGGAAAATGTTAATTTGGTTTCCCTATGCAGCCAGTTGGGCGGTGTCTTGCAAAATTGAGAGGCTTTTTGCCTATGGTTCCTTTGTAATGTGGCTTAACCCCCATAGCTATGGTGCAACAAGCAAGGCCATCAGCGCCGCTTAGAGAAAGGGAACCCAGAAACCTAGCATGCTGGCAATAGGGCAAGAATTTCTTATGAATCAGACTTCTGGCCTCTCTCTTTCTATGTAAACCAGCTGAAAGAATGATAAAAGTCACTGTCTCCTCTGCAAGATTTTGACTAATGGGAAAAAGGGTTTGTGAAGCTATTCTTAGGCTGTAGCAAATCTGGTGTACTTTGTGCTATGAATTTTTCTGTGTTGTTCTATCATAAAAAGGGATACCAAAGGATAAAATGTGGGTGTAGGACCCAAGCCCACTGTTCAAGCCAACCTAGCAAACTGGTCAGTTACAAACTTTGCTGCAGGTCCCTGAAACAAAAACTGGATGAGATTTTCCTCTTGTTTTGTTTTATGTCCTTGGGAGCTTGACCCTGTGACTATGTGGAAGTACTTTCTTTTGACTTCCACCAACTGGAGGATGGGACTTTGGGGGTTCATGTCATAGCCCTAAAAATTATCTTGAACAGTAAAAAACCTTTGCAAGCTCAAGATTGGCTGCTCTAGGCTCCTTCTGGGAAGTACACTAGAAACAACCGAATGCTATAGCTCAGTAGCTAAGGCTTTGTCTTTTTACAATGGTATCCCAGGTTCAACTCCCAGCTTAGGGAATGAGTCATTTCTGGTTTGACATATGTGTGATTTTTTTTTTTTTTTTAGATTGAGTTTTGCTCTTGTTGCCCAGGCTGGAGTGCAATGGGGCGATCTTGACTCACTGCAACCTCCGCCTCCTGGGTTCAAGTGATTCTCCTGCCTCAGCCTCCCGAGAAGCTGGGATTACAGGCATGTGCCACCACGCCTCGCTAATTTTGTATTTTTAGTAGAGGTGGGGTTTCTCCATGTTGGTCAGGCTGGTCTCGAACTCCCGACCTCAGGTGATCTGCCTGCCTCGGCCTCCCAAAGTGTCAGGATTACAGGCGTGAGCTACCACACCCGGCCTACGTGTGTGATTTTTGCCATTTATTGATTATTTTCCCCTGTGTGAACAACTTCTAACTTCCTATCTTGAATTTTCTTTTCTCTGAGCTACCTTTGGAGATTCTAGATCTTGTAAAAACTGCTTACCACTTCTTACAAAATATCTTTTATACCATGGTTAAGTCATAACTTACGGTATAACTTAAGGTATAACTTATATACCTTAGGCTTATTGGTTTCACCTCAGAGGTTACCTTTAGTAAAATTGAAAAGCCAGAAATATTGGCTCTTTGTCCCAGATGGAGTCTGGGAATAACAGATTTGGTTAAAAGTCGGCTTAATTAAAAACAGATATCCAAGCTATACATATATTTAAGAGGCATTTATGTTCTCTTCTTGGATCTTGTTTTTCTGAAAAAAGGTTTTTTTTTTCTGAGTACACTGAATTATTTTTCTCCATTTTGTCATCTTGCCACTCTTGATGCTCATATGAAGGGAACTAAGATAATTTCTAACAGCCTGGGACTCTTGGGAAAAACAGAGGAGGTGCCACAGTCCCTGTTTTTGGAAAAACCTCTAGTTTCCTCCTGGAACCCCAGAAATTGAAAGTGGATAGATGCCTCTCAAAATCTAAAGCTCCGTTCTGTTTTGCATTGTGCTACCTAGCATTTTTTTACTTTTGGGGGTATCAGAAATTACTTAGCACTATGAGAGAGCTTTTAGTTTTAGTATGTAATAGCTAGGTAGAAAATATACTTTTAGAGATGGATAATGGCAGTTATGGGGGGATACTTGGCTCTTTGCATGTTTGGATCAGGGGAGCGTACTTTTGGCCACCTAGAAAGTATGAAAACATTCCCACCCCCACCCCCAGAGAGGTAAAAGTCCTACAGGAGATGGGCTGATTGGCTTTGGGTTGCCCACCAGCTTCAGGGGAATGGACTGGAAGTAAAATGCATAGTAAAAGCATTGCACTTTCTGGTCCTGTAGCACTTCCCTCTTTCGGGGGACCCAGAATTCAGCATGAAAATAGGAAAGAAAAGCTTTGAAACAATACCAGATCTGCTTCTGTCTGTCTGTCTATGTATTTATGTGTTGTGTGTGATGTTTTACTATTGAAAATATGAAAGAGCTCTGATTAATTGACTTAAAAATAATAAGCACTTAAATATCTTGTCAGAAAAAATAGAAAATTTAATGCCTTTTAATTCACGTGACTTTAGTAATCTTTAAGAAATAAAGAGTTTTAAAAATTATTGGTAAAATTAAAATGTCTTCAAAATTTAGATATTTGGTCTAGATTAGGCAGGTCATATACTGTGTTTACTAAGCTACATAAACTACTTCTTTGACTTTTGATAATTGTTCAAATTCCTGCTTTGGACCCATTAGATTCTAGCTAAGGCCTGGGGACATGTGGAGTTGGCTATGCCCACTATGGGATGGAAAGAGTCAGATTTTTCCTGCACTTCTGTCTGGTGTCCTGGGCTCCACACCTGGTACATAATGAAAATTGCTTACTTAACAGGTTTCTCACCAAAAATAAAAGTTGCTAAGAGTAAATATTGTAACATATATAATTAAGACTACTGGAGAAATAGTTTTACATGCAAGGTGTATAAGGAAAGTAAAATGTGTTTTTGGTAAAAGATTATAATAAGGCATAGGAATGTGGGTTGTTGTTGTCATTGTTGTTTTGCCTAGTTTAGAGGGTTAAAATGTTGTTTTAAGTTAGATAGGTAAAGCTTCATGTTAAAACCTTCAGTGTATGACAATGTAGTTTTTTACATAAGGGCTATAAGAATCTGTTTTCTTTTATAACAGGACACAATTGGAGACGCTGGTTATTTTACGAGGCTTTGACTGGAATGGCATGCTTTCAGATACAAACATACTGCTTTAAGGAATCAAAGTTGGCTTATAGAGCCAGTAAAAGCCCCTTGGGAAAACTGGTCTCATACTTTGCATATGAAATCCCTGTACAAGTTTCCTGACCTGTAGTAAGTAAAGAATGTCAATTTCTGACAGGCTCAGTAGCCCCCAAGTTATTTTGGTACCTCAAGAGAAGGAGAATTTACCCAACTCATGCAGGTACTTGCAGACACAAACCCATGGTTGTGCTCATGGCTTTGAAAAGTCTAATAAGAGATTTTCTTTTCTCTTTTTTTGATAGAACAAAGTTCCACCAAAGTCAATTTAAAAGGAGCATATATGGCAAATAATTAGTCTTGCTGTTCTTTATGCAAATAATCAGCCCAAGTATAATCAGACTAAAGCTTATTTTGTAAATGAATCAGTCTTGCCATGATTTTTTAAAAATAAAAATGGGGACTAGATAGAGAAAAACTATGTTTCAAAAACTATGGTACACCTCTTATTAGATTCTAGTCTCATCTATTGTTTTTGAGTTTTTTTCTGCAATTAAGACTGACCCTGCTTATCCCCTGTGAACCAATCAGTGATCTCTGGCTGCTGCTCAGAGGAAACAAGAAGGATGGGTAATGTAAAAATCTGGATAAGTATTCTTATTCTGGGCATGTATTAGAATTGGCTAGCAACCTTATATCAGCGTGGTTCCAACAATTTTCCAGTTCATGAAAAGTCTTCTTATTGACTTATATTACTGCTTTACTCTTCGTGTAAGAATGCAGGATAACCTTAGTCAATGTTTTCTTAAATTGAACACATATTAAGCTTCCAGATACCATCTTTTGTTGGGATTCAGAGTTATGAATGACCTTCACCATACTGATGTTTTCTGACTGAATTCCTCCCTACTCTGAATACAAGAGACCTAATAGAAAGAAGTATCACCACCCCGATTCAGCTTGAAGAAGCTATAGAATATGGAGCTTCATCCCTCTGCAACCCTTAAAATTAAAGGTTCCCTTATAAAAGGGAGAGGGGGAAATATGGCAGAGGAGTTCAAACCAGAGTGATTCTTGAATAGGGGCTGGGTAAAATGAGACTGAGAACTGCTGGGCTGCATTCCTGGGAATTCTTATCACAGGATGAGAGAGGAGGTCAACACAAGATACAGGTCACAAAGACCCTGCTGATAAAACAGAATGCAGTGAAGAAGCCAGCCAAAACCTGCCAAAACCAAGATAGTAATGAAAGTGACCTCTGGTGGTCCTCACTGCTCATTATGTGCTTATTATAATGCATGAGCATGTTAAAAGACACTCCCACTAGCACCATCACAGTTTACAAATGCTATGGCAATGTCTGGAAGTTACCCTATATTGTTTAAAAATGGGAGAAACCCTTAGTTCTGGGAATTGCCCACCCCTCTTTTGGAAAACTCATGAATAATTCACCCCTTGTTTAGCATATAATCAAGAAATAACCATAAAAATAACCAACCAGCAGCCCTTGGGGCTGCTCTGCCTATGGAGTAGCCATTCTTTTGTTTTGTTTCTTCCTTCTCTGAGAAACTCACTTTCACTTTACTCTGTGGACTTACCCTGAATTCTTTCTTGTGTGAGAGCCAAAAACCATTTCTTGGGGTCTGGATTGGGATCTTTTTCTAGTAACAAAGGTGCTGCCCAATTCAGTTCTTGATGTGGGCCCTCTCTTGGCTTACAGAGGGACACTTTGTTGCTGTATCCTTACCTGGCAGAGAGAGTGAGCTCTAGTCTTTTTCTCTTCTTATAAGGACTGTGACAAAATTAAAAATACATACTTGGTCCACTTTTCCCCTTCCTGGCATAAAGCTCCTAAAACCCTTGGAATCTCTGAAGTAATGTGTGTCTTTTTGTATGCTAATAAGATGACTGGTTGTTTGGGGCTCACGGATAGCCTCAGTCTGGGGGTTGATTGCCAGGGGACCAATTATGTCATTTGAGAGTGGGAACTGTCAGCCCCACCCCCTGACCTCCAGAAAGGGGAGAGGGGTTGAAGGTTGAGTTGGTAACCAATGGCCAATGATTTAATCAATCATGCCTATGTAATGAAGCCTACATAAAAACCCCAAAGGACAGAGTTCAGAGAGCTTCTGGATTGCTGAACACCTGTAAGTGCCTGGAGGATGGCACATCTGGAGAGGGCATGGAAGCTCATGCCTATATCTAGCCCTTTGCATCTCTTCTATTTGGCTGTTCCTGAGTTGTATCCTTTATAATAAATGGGAAAACGTAAGTAAAGCATTTATCTGATCTCTGTTAGCCATCCTAGCAAATTATTGAATCCTGATTTATAGCTGGCAGTCGGAAGCACAGTTCACAATCTGGGACTTTACATTAGCATGTGAAGTGGGGTCAGTCTCATGAGACTGAGCCCTTACCCTGTGAAATCTGATACTATCTCCAGGTAGAATAGTGTGGCCCTTGTTAGGAAAGCCAGACAAAGCACTATGAGAAAAGAAATCTACATACAATATGCCTTATGAACATTAATGCAAATATCCTCAACAAAATACTAGCAAATTACATTCAGCAGCCTATTAAAAGGATTGCACACCGTGACAAAGTGACAAAGGGGGATTTATTTTTGGAATGCAAAGATGGTTCAACATATGAAAATCAATCATTATATCATATTAACAGAATGAAGGAAAAAAAACGCATGTGATCATCTTGATTAATGCAGAAAAAGCATTTGACAAAATTCAGCATGCTTTCATGATTTAAAAAACACTCAACAAACTAGGAATAGAAGGAAACTACTTCAGCACAATAAAAGCCATATGTGAAAAACCCACAGCAAACATCATATTCAATGTTAAAAGACTGAAAGCTTTTCCTCTAAGATCAGCAATAAGAAAAGAATGCTCACTTTCACCACTTCTATTCAACATAGTCCTGGAAGTCCTAGCCAGAGCAATTAGTCATGGAAAAGGAATAAAAGGCATCCAAGTTGGAAAAGAAGAAATAAAATTATCTCTGCTTAAAGATGGTATGATCTATATGTAGAAAATCCTAAAGATTCCACAAAAAACTGTTAGAACTAATAAATGAATTCAGCAAAATAGCAGGATACAAAGCCAGCATACAATAATCACTTGCGTTTCTATACACTAACAATGAGCAATCTGGAAAGGAAATTATGAAAACAATTCCATTTATAATAGTTTCAAAAAGAATAAAATAGGAATTAACCAAGGTGGCAAAAGACATGGCCTTGGAAGTTTTAGAATTTTAGAAAAAACAACTACAAAAACTTTGCTGAAAGTAGTTAAAGATGATGTAAGTAAATGGAAACACTCATCCCATGTTTATAGATTGGAAGACTTAATATTGTTAAGATGTTAATACTACCCCCAAAAATCTACAGATACAATGCAATTATCTGTAGATTAAAATCACCAAAAATCCCATCAAAATCCCAAAAGCTTTTGTTTTTCACAAATAGAAAAATGTGTCCTAAAGTTCCTATGAAATCTCAAGGGACCCCAAATAGCTATAATGATCTTGAAAAAGAACAAAGTTGGAGGATTCATACTTCATGACAAAACTTGCTGCAAATCTACAATAATCAAAAATTGTGGTAATGGCAAAAAGATAGACATGTAGACCAATGGAATAGAATAGATAGCCTAGAAGTTATTAACTTCATTATTACATCATATACAAAAATTAGCTCAAAATGGATTAAAGACCTAAATGTAAAACTAAAAGAATACAACTCTTAGAAGCACATATGGGACAAAAACTTTACAACATTAGATTTGGCAGTGATTTCTTGGATATGATAACAAAGGCACAGACAACAAAAGAAATAGACAAATTTGAACTGCATGAAAAATTTGAAATTGTGTGCATCAAAAGACACTATCCAGGCTGGGCGCGGTGGCTCATGCCTGTAATCCCAGCACTTTGGGAGGCTGAGACAGGCAAATCATGAGGTCAGGAGTTCGAGACCAGCCTGGTCAATGTGGCGAAACCCCATCTCTACTAAAAATACAAAAATTAGCCGGGCTTGGTGGCAAGTGCCTGTAATCCCAGATACTTGGGAGGCTGAGGCAGGAGAATCACTTGAATCTGGGAAGCAGAGGTTGCAGTGAGCCAGGATTGTGCCATTGCACTCCAGCCTGGGCAACAAGAACAAGACTCCATCTCAAAACAAAACACCTATCCATAGAGTAAAAAGTCAACTCACAGAATGGGATAAAATAAAATATTTGCAAATTATAAGTCTGGTAAGGGATTAATATCTAGAGTATGTAGATAGCTCCTAAAGCTCAACAACAAAACAACCCAATTAAAAAATAGACACAGGACTTGAATAGATATTTCTACAAAACAGATATACAGATGGCCAATAATCACATGAAGACACTCAACATCAGTAATCATTAGAGAAATGCATGAAATATCACCATGAAATACCACCTCACACCCGTTAAGATGGCTACTATTACAAAAACAGAAAATAACAAGTGTTGGAGAGGATATGGAGAAATTGGAGCCTTTGTGTACCGTCTTTGGGAATGTAAAATGGTAAAGCCACTGTGGAAAACAGTATGATGGTTCCTATAATAATTAAAAATTGAATTACTATATGATCAAGCAATTCATTTCTGAGTAATACCCAAAAGAATTGAAAGCAGGGTCTTGAAGAGATGTTTGTACACTCATGTTTATAGCATCATTATTTACAATAGCTAATATGTGGAAGCAACCCAACTGTCCATTGATGGATGAATCAATAAGCAAAATGTAGTAAATACATACAATGGAATACTACTCAGCCTTTAAAAAGATGGAAATTCTGACATATGCTACAACATGGATGAACCTCAAGGACATTATGCTAAGTAAAATACAACAGTCACAAAAATACAAATACTTTATTATTCCACATACGTGAGCTGCTTAGAGTAGTCAAAGTCATAGAAACAAAGTAGAATGGTGGTTGCTAGGGGTTCAGAGGAGGAGGAAATGAGAAGTTATTATTTAATGGATGTAGGGTTTCAGTTTTACAAGATGAAAAGAGTTTTGAAGATGGATAGTTGTAGTTGCACAGCATTATGAACATATTTAATATCACTGAACTTACAGTTAAAATGGTAAATGTAATTTACCACAATAAAAAAATTGAAAAAGAAAATCAATGCCACATTCCTGAAGAAGTCTCAGAAATGGGAGCTACCATTAAAGAGTTGAAAGTTGCAAGGATGGATATTTCAAACACCTGTCAATTTGTGTCTACCACTTAGTGGTGAAAATAGATGGGCCTTAGAGAATGGGGATGGTTTATAATGAATAGTTGTGTGGTAATCCCAATTCTGTCTGCCAAATTAAATATTGATTTAATGTATATTGTCTGAATACTAGTCAGCAGAAGGCATTAGAAGCAATTTGTTTTTGCTTTTTAGGTGCATCTTCACTGTCTTGCCCTGAGTTACATTGACTCTAGCTTAGTGCCACAATTTGGTCCACAGGGAACTTAGCCATTATCCCATAGGACACCACAGTGTGCCCACATGTTGATAGTATTCTTCTAGGACCCAGAGAATACCAAATATAAAGTAGTCTAGATGCCCTGATAAGTCACAAGAGTGCAAGGGAATGGGAGAAAAATTGCATAAAATAACAAGTACCTGACACCTCAGTGAGGTTTCTGGGTATCTAGTGGTTTGGGGATTGTCAGGTTACTCTTCTCATGTGAATGATGAATTGGTAAACATTGCCCTAACCCTTCCCACAGCCATCATTAACACTAAGAGAGAGGCATAGTATTTGATAAGCCGCTTTGCTTTGGTGGAGTGGGGGGAAATTGCCTACACTACATTTGTTTGTACTTTCTCAGCCCATTTATAGGTTTTGGAGAGGATATGGAGAAATTGGAGCCTTTGCGTGCCAGAATTAAGTGGGGCCAAGAACAGGGGAAGACTCTAGCTGGGTCACTTCTGCCATTTGACTCTAATACCCAATAGATCTCAGTGTTCAGTGTCTATGGCCACTCAGGATACTGAAAGGGGCCTGTGACAAGCCAGGACAGGACAATCACCAGGGAGGATTGCAAATTCTTGGTGCAAATCAATGCCTTATTCAGCAAGTGGCAATTCTCCTTCAGAGAAAGAGTTTTTATCTTGAAATTAGACCAGGTAGATCTTGGATTGGAACCAGTGTTACGGGAGGGTCCTTATTCTTAGAGCTCCCAAGATGGTGGCGGGCGGCTCCCAAGATGGGGCAAGCGGCTCCCAAGATGGCGGCAAACCTTTTGTTCTCTGACCTAAGGTTCTTGGCCTCACAGATTCCAAGGAATAGAAGCTTGGGCCATGTGGTGAGTGTTATAGCTCTATTAGAAGCTGTGGGTCACAGAAGAGAACCATGGAAGCCACCGACTAGTGTTCAGCTCAACTAGGTCAAAGCCGGGCACTTACCTGTGCAGGAACAATGGTGAGCCTTTAGCCCAATCAGGAGCGGCAATGGGCACCTCGCTGGATCAGGAGTGCAATGGACACCCTGCTGGATCCAGAAGGGTGGAAGTCAACGGCGGGTCTGGGACGGCGGCAAACAGCAGTGGTGGATGGCGAGCGAAAGCTCAGCTTGAGCCATAACAAACACGGACCTGAAGAGTGTGCAGTTGCAAGATTTAATAGAGTGAAAACAGATCTCCCATATAAGGGAGGTGACCCAAAGGGGGTTGCCGCTCCCTGCTAGACTGCCTTGGTTTATATCCCAATCATTGTCCCTCCCCCTGTGCTCTCAGGTGATATATGATATGACTCTTTACCTCCTGCTTTTAGCCTAATTTGTATTTTAGTGAGCCCTCTTTACTACCTGATTGGTCGGGTGTGAGCTGAGTTACAAGCTCCGTGTTTAAAGGTAGATGCAGTCACACTCCCCAGCTAGGCTTAGGAATTCTTAGTTGGCCCCGGAAATCCAGCTAGTCCTGTCTCTCAGTACCCCCTCTCAACAGGAAAACCCAAGTGCTGTTGGGGACGTTGGCCAACGACAGCTCTTAACTGCTTCCTGCTGAATTGGGGCATAGTAGGGGTCGTGCAGTTGAGATTTCCTCGTGAGGGGTGCCTTCAATGTCATCAACATCAAAGCATGGGCTAGTGGGCCGGTCCAGGGGTCCGCAGTAGATCTTAGTCATGGACTGCATCTGGGGCTCCATTTGAAGAACGATTTGTAGTTTTACAGCTTCAATTCTGGAATAGACAAACCTAACAAGGAAGTTAAAGATACAGGGATTGAAATGTATGGCCTGAAGTGCAGGGGATTATTTCTTTGGCACACTTCACAGGCCCTGACTATCTGCTTGACAGTTTTGAAAAGTCCTGGTCCAGTAAATCATGATTTGGCCATCCAATGGGTGCTATCAATGCCTAAGTGAAAGGTCTGGTGAAGGGTTTTAAGTAATTTCCATTGGTTAGCTGCAGGCAAAAGTATTTTTCCTTCTTCGGTGGGTAGCCATCGTGAGGGGAGGAAACTTTGTCCTCGTGAGGTTCCCCATTCTGTTTCTTCTGCTGAGTACTGGGGCTTGGTTTCCTGGAGGGGATTACCCCATAGTAGGGGTCCTTCTATAAGCATTTCTAATGGAAGGTCCCACCTTGCAGCTCTTTTAGTTTCAATATCCGCTTGGTGGTTCCCTTCTATTTCCCTTTCCTTTCCTTTCTGATGATCCCAGCAGTGTAAGACTGCCACCTCTTTAGGTTTCTGTACAGCCAATAATAATCTCTTAATGGCTTCCTGATGTTTGATAGGTGTTCCCTTGGAAGTTAGGAATTCCCTTTCTCTCCATATTGCTGCGTGGGCATGGAGGACTAGGTAAACATACTTAGAGTCTGTATATATATTTACCCTTTTTCCTTCTCCTATGTTCAGGTGTATAGTGGCCCCTGTTTTTGCTAGAATGTCTCTCCCTAACAAAGGAGTGGGGCTTTCAGGCATAATCAGAAAGGCATGTGAAAAGAGTAAAGTTCCCCAGTCACAACTTAGGGGCTGGGAGAAGTATCTAGTGACTGCTTGTCCTAGGACCCCTCAGATAGTGACAGATCTGGAAGACAGTTGTCCGGGACAGGAGAGTAAGACTAAGAAGGTCACACCAGTGTCCAGGAGACAGTTAACCTCCTGGCCCTCAATGGTCAAGCATACCCGGGGCTCTGTGAGGGTGATGGCATGGGCTGGCGCCATTGCCCCGGGCACCCTCAGTCCTGCTGCTGGATCTTCTGGTTAGTGGCTTCTGACTCAGAGGACCTTTGTCCCCTGGGGCAGTGGACCTTCCAGTGATTCCCTTGACATAAGGGGCATGGACGAGGGGGCGGCTTATTTCTATTCTGACAATCTTTTTTAAAGTGTCCTTGCAAACTGCACTGGAAGCAAGCCCTATTAGGCATTTGATTTGCCCAGCCTTTCCCTGTTCCAGAGTCTCCAAAGTCCGCTTGCCTGAAGGCCATGACTAAAGCGGTGGCCTTCTTTTTATCCCGTTTGTCCTGTTCCACCTGCTCCTCCTGATCTCTATTATAAAAAACCGAGGTTGCCAAGTTCAATAGGGTTTCTAAGTTTTGCTCTGGGCCTAAGGCAGACTTTTGAAGTTTTTTTCTAATGTCTACAACTGACTGACTGATAAATTTATCCTTTAAGATTAGTTGGCCTTCAATAGAGTCAGGTGACAGAGAGGTATGCTTCCTCAATGACTCCCTTAGTCTCTCCAGAAAGGCAGTAGGATTTTCATTCTTTCCTTGTGTTATAGTGGACATCATTGAGTAATTCATAGTCTTCTTCCTAGTTTTCTTTAGTCCTTCTAGCATGCAAGTTAGCAAATGTCTGTGGCACCAATCTCCGTGTTCTGATTCTGCATCCCAGTGAGGGTCTACACTGGGAACTGCCTGCTGGCCTGTAGGGAATTGTTCTCTTTCCTGTGTTGTCATCTTATCCTCGACCTGACTGAGATACCAGAGATCGCCAAACTCTCGGGCTGCAGTTTTGGCGGCACTTTTCTCATTTGGGGTTAGTGACTGATCTAGCAGTAACATTATATCTCTCCATGTCAGATCAAAGGATTGTCTTAACCCTTGTAAAACATCAATATAGCCATCAGGGTTATCTGAGAATTTACCTAGGTCTATTTTAATTTTCCTCAAGTCTGAGAGGGAAAAAGGTACATGCACTCTGACTGGGCCAAGTTCTCCAGAATGCATCTTAGGGGCGTTTTTCCTTTGGGGGGAAAGTTTCCTATCTGAAAAAAGAACATAGGGATGCCAGCACCCCTAGTCATTTTCTGATGAGCATTAGTCCTACAGTGTCCTCTATGGTCCTATTGCTTATTCCTTTCCAAGGTACGTAGCCACTCATGGGCCTCTGCTTATCAGATTAGTTACGCTCACGGATGTAGCAGTCTGCACCCCTTTTCCTGCCTTTCTTGACTACAAAGAAAGGGGTCCGGGCTGCTGGATTCTAGTGATCCTTTACCAGCGTGTCCAGCATTGCCTGTGTGCTCGGGGTGAGTCCTAGAGCTGGGATGGGTTCCTGAGTATTTTGTAACAACCCAGCTGCCCCATCAAGATGCATTCCCATAAACAACAATTCTTTTCAGAGAGGGTGTAGGTAAACTTTTGAGGCAGGATTGAGAGAGGTTTTTTTTGATTCTGTAAGTACTTTAAGGCTAGGCTGAGTGCAAACAGCTTGCACAGACCAATTATTGGGCAATTCTCCTAACTCTGCTTCCACAAGCATCTCCCTATCAATTACTGAATACCCATTGTGATTTTTTTTCTCAGTCACCTGGGAGAAACCATCTATGTCCTGTCCTGAAGGGAGTTCCTCCTAGTTCCGGTTGGACCTTTGTATGGTAATTAAGATTTAAATCCCCTGTTAGGAAATCTGCTGGGTTAAGGGAATTTTCAGTGGTTAGTGTTAAATCACCTTTTTCTAACAGAGTAGCCCCATACTTTAAGATTTTTGAGTTAGTAAGATAACTTTTTGCTTTTTTTGACTTAGGATAGCTCTAAACTGGTGAGGTGTGCTCACAATGAGGTTTCCTCTAAAGGTTATTTTTCTACTTTTAACAAAGCAGTTGCCGCTACGGACTGAATGCATTTAGCCCATCCATGGGTTACTGGGTTAAGGATATTTGATAGGAAGGCTATGGGTTGTCAGTGGCCTCAGTGCTTTCGAGCTATGCCCTTGTTTACACTGACAACAAGGTGGTATTGGAGTGTTACAGGGTCACCGAGAAGACCTTCAATTATTAACTATAGGTTTTAAATTTACCCTGGCTTTTAACGGAATAGGGTACACTGTTTTTTTTCTTTACTACTTCTATTTTTCTCTTTCTTTCTCTCCTTGACTTTCTGTCTCTCTCTTTGACTTTCTCTGACTCCCTCTCTGTTTTTTTGTCTCTCTCCTCTCTGTCTCTCTCTTCTCTTTCCTCTCTCTTTCTCTCCTCTCTGTCTCTCCTCTCTGTCTTTGTAGATGGATTTTGGAAACACAGTGGAAGGACATTGGCTCGTTGCCCCCATTTGCCACTATAGGAATATGCGCCTCCCTTTAATTTACTCAATTCATTTTCATCCTGATCTATTATGTTGTTGTAGATCCAGTTCCAGTTGTTAAAGTACTGGGTTGTCAGTTCTAAGGCCCTGGAAAGGGTGGTGGGGAATGGGTCCCACATAACTGCCCATGTCAAGAGCTGTATGCCTAAATTGGGACAAGACTCCCTGGGTTCATAGCCTAGGTGCCTAAGGACACAGTGTAGAGCTTCCTTAGATCCCTTTGGAGATACAACCTGCTCTAATACTCGGGAGAGGAAGTGAAGTCTGAAGCATTAGTATCTAGGAGGCAGGGATCGGAAGAAGTAGAATCAGAGATAAGGAGAATTTTGGGGCTACACTTTCAAGAAAGTCGTGGTCAGGACCCAGGAGGTATGGGTCAGAAGGAGAGGTAGGGGCCCATGCATGGGCAACTGTTGAGTAGAGACTTCTGGCTGCACCATGATCTCGATCGGCCAATGCGGGAGTTCGGGACGACAGCTTTCTGCCTCTAGTCAACCCTCGGCTTCCCCAGGAAAATTGTGAAAACAGAAGCTGGTTCCAGGCAGACCAGTGCTCCCAATCCAGAAGGGTTGGGGGTTGTTAGAAAGCCTTTTCCCAGGAAGCCTCACACCTGAGTCTTTAGTCTGGTGGCCATGCTAATCATTTTTAACCAGCTGACAGGTGCCCGGCATTTTCCTCCAATTCTAAGGAAGGATAGGATAGAATAGCAAGCAAAAGTGGTCTGATATTACTCACCGCTTTGGTGAATCCCCATACAGGCCACCAAATGTTACCGGTGGGTCTTTGTTCTTAGAGCTCCCAAGATGGGGCAGGCTGCTCCCAAGATGGCAGCAAGCCTTTTGTTCTCTGACCTGGGGTTCTTGGCCTCACAGATTCCAAGGAATGGAACCCTGGGCCATGTGGTGAGTGTTATAGCTCTATTAGAAGCCATGGGTCACGGAAGAGAACGTGGAACCCAGTGAGTAGTGTTCAGCTCGATTAGGATGAACCCGGGCACTTAGGCGTGAAGGAACAATGGCGAGCCTTTAGCCCAGTCAGGAGTGGCAATGGGTGCCTCACTGGATCAGGAACACAATGGATACCCTGCCAGATCCAGAGGGGTGGAAGTCAGTGGCAGGTCTGCGATGGCGGCAAACAGCAGTGGTGGACGGCAAGTGAAAGCTCAGCTCAAGCCATAGCAAACACGGACCAGAAGAGTGTGCAGTTGCAAGATTTAATAGGGTGAAAACAGCTCCCATACGAAAAGGGGTTTTGCCCTGGAGTGTTTTATTCTTGGGGCAATAATTTATTATTTGGATTATCAAGGAAATATATTTTCAATGTAAATACTAATAATATAACTTATTTGAATCTGTCTAATGTGCCTCACAGGATTTAACAATATGTAAAATTACATATTACAAAGATTAAAAACTTAGGAAACACAAATAAGCATCAAGAAAAAAGTAAAATTACCTATAATGCCACAAGCTAAACAAATGTTGATATTTTGATGCCTATTCATCCAAACTTATAGTTAAGAACCAAATCTCTTCCTGGGGGAAAAGTTCAGCTAATCACTAGCCGCTTGGTGGTGTCCTATCAGGCTTTCCATCTCTTTGCCCTCCTGTATTCACTTAGAAATAATCCTACTCCTTTCCTAAAAATAAGAAAGGAAATAGGAGCTAAGGAATTCAGTTTTATCATCAGACATTTTCACTTGTTGCTCTCCTGTTTCTACCCAAAATAATTCTTAAAACCACATTTGTATAATTTTCTTTCAGATAGGATGAAGGAGTTTGTGTCATGCCAAAGAAAGCTAGAAAAGCCAGTTTAAAAAGGCAATTCACATTTTAAAAGCATCAGAGAGTTGCAGAAGCAGCAAGGACTAGAAGAACTAAAATTCCAGAGAGGAGAGAACCTTTTGGAAGTGAGTTGACGGACTGCAGTCACATTTTACCTGAGAGCATTTTCCAGTCTTGGGTGCAGGCTGATAATCTGCCTTAGGTCCAAGCATAGGGCTGCTGCTGAGGTACTGGGAACCCAATGAAACTTTTGTTGGTCACTCAGGGTTGCTGTGACAAGACTGTAGACTTGGGGGACATTAAACATATAGCTGTTTTTTACCTCTAGACATTTTCAGAATTCTAAAACTATGTGGGGCAAGAGGTTATAAAATTAAGGAAAATCTCTGGGAAAAAGAACAGAATTTATAACAATTTCATGGTACTAAGAAGATGAAAATTCCTGGGGTAGAGAAAGGGGAAAGAACACGCCAGGAGAAAGTGAAAGCCCTGAAGAAAGTAGTGAATTGACACTGAGGATCTGCAGCCACTGTTTCTCTGGGACACTTGCCAATTCTAAGCCCAGCTAGAGGCTGAGCTCCCAATGTTGGCACCAGCATACATGTGTCAGGAAATAGGAACACCAAGGGAGCTTTTGAACAGATGTACAATGCTGGAGCATGAAAATGGAGACTTTAGAGTCCTTAAATACATAGCTGGTTTCACTCCTCAAGAAAATTGCTGAGTTGTGAAGCTCCATGAAGGAAGAATCCAGAAATATAAGCCCAAACTCTAAAAACAAGAGTGGATTTTTCGGTTGAGAAGAGAAAGACCTGCCAGGTTTTTTATTGCAAACCTGGTAGGGCAACGCTCAAAAAGTGGGACAAGTCACAGATAGAAGGAGCATTACCAAAATTACATTTTCATTTTTCTTAGCAGAAAAGACCACTCATTTCCTTATTGGTTTAAAATCATCAGCCCTCCACTCTATCTTCTTTCAAAAAAGAAGAAGCAGAAGAAGGAGGAGGAGGAGGGAGCAGGAAGAGCAGGAAGAGGAGGAGGAGGGTGAATTTTGTCTAGTAGAAAATAATTTTATTGAGAGCCTTTATTCTTTTAATACACAATGTCTGGCATTCAATAAAGATTACTAGGTATATCAACAGTCAGAGAAATATGAACAAAACCAAAAGAAAAACAGACAGTCGAAGCAAGTGATCTAGATATCATAGAATTTAAAATAACTTTGATAATATATTTAGGAAAACAGGAACATAGAAAAAATGTGAGAAAAGTGTGAATTTCACGTTCTAATTTGTAAGAAAAAATTCAAAGGAAATTCTAAAACAAAAATTATAATATTTAACATTAAAATTGTAATACGTGCATTTAACAGAAACTTAGTCACAGTGGACCACTGGATTAGTGAACAGAAAAACAAATCAATAGAAAAATATCTAAACTGAAGCACAGAAAGGTAAAGAATGGATGAAAAGAAAAGGAAAATAGGATATAAATGGGAAACAGTTAAAAGTTCTTACATGTCATTGAAATTCCAAAAGGAGGTAAGAAAGTGAATGAAGCAAAACCAAGATGTGAAAGGATAATTGACAAGCATTTTCCAAAACTAATGGAAAACATCAACCCACTTATTTAAGAAATTCAGTTAGTCAAAAGGAAATAAAAACAAAGGAGAATATTAACGCCATCTGTAGGTGATGGAGGAAAAGACAGAGGACAAAACATACAAACAAAACCAAAAGAAACCATGTTTTTAAAGAGTGAGGAAGAGGCCAGGCACGGTGGCTCACGTCTGTAATCCTAGCATTTTGGTAGGGCTGAGGTGGGCGGATCACTTGACGTCAGGAGTTCAAGACCAGACTGGCCAACATGGTGAAACCCCATCTCTACTTAAAATACAAAAATTAGCCAGGCCTGGTGGCATGTGCCTATAATCCCAGCTACTTGAGAGGCTGAGGCAGGAGAATCACTTGAACACAGGAGGTGGAGGTTGCAGTGAGCCAAGATTGTGCCACTGCACTCCAGCCTGGGTGACAGAACGAGACTCCGTCTCAAAGAAAAAATAAAAAAAAAAAAGAGAGAGAGAGGAAGAGAAATCTGAAAAAGCAATCAGTAGGGAAAAAAATCAAATTTTACAATTAACAGATGATTTGCCAAAAGAAATTATGGGAGCCAGGTGACATGAAACAATATTTTTACAGTGCTGAAAGTAAATAACCCAATTACTTTAAATAATATAAAAGTATTTAAAACTCCAATTAAAATATAAAATTTTCAGACTGAATGAGAAAACAAAACCACACTATAAGTTGCTTAGTTGAAACTTAAGCGTAGGGTCACATATAGCAGGTGAAAGTATAAATAAAAACACACCGTACAAACAATAACCAAAGAGGCTAGTATAGCAATATTAATATGATGCAAAATAGACTTTAACTTGATAAGAGTTTCTACAGATAGAGGGGATATTTAAAAATGATAAGGAGGTCAATCTAGCAGGAAGCTATTATAATCCCAAATCTGAATGCACCTAAAAATATAGTGTGAAAATAAACAAAAATGGATAGAACTAAAAATAGAAATAGACATATCCTTAATCATAGTGGCAGATTTTAACACACCTTTTTCTGTAGCTAATAGAAAAGGCAAATAAAATGTTGCTAAGCATATGAAGAATCTGAATAACACAACCAGAAAATATGACCTATTTGATATATAATGAACAGTGCACCATTCAATAGCACATTTTATATATTTTAATGCGCACAGTACATTTATCAAAGTTAACAATATTTGGTGATATAAAGTAAGTTGCCACAAATTTGAGGATTGAAATCATAGAGAATGTTTTCGGACCATATTATAGCTGAATTAGGCTAAGTTATGAGAAACAGAAATAACTAGAAATCCCCAGCCTCTTGGAAGCCAAACAATACACTTCCAAATAACCTATAAGCAAAAGAAGAGATCAAAATAGAAATTAGAAAGTATCTTGAACCAAATGTTAACAAAGATATAACAAATCAAAATTCATGTGGTACAGGTAAAGTCATGAATTCACGCTCTTTTTTGTTTGTTTGTTTGCTTTTTGAGATGGAGTCTCGCTCCCATCGTGCAGTGGTGTGATCTTGGCTCACTGCAACCTCCACCTCCCGGGTTTAAGTGATTTTCCTTCCTCAGCCTCCTGAGTAGCTGGGATTACAGGCATGCGCCACCACGCCTGGCTAATTTTTGTATTTTTAGTAGAGACGGGGTTTCGCCATGTTGGCCAGGATGGTCTCGAACTCCTGACCTCAGATGATTCACCTGCCTCAGCCTCCCAAAGTGCTAGGATTACAGGCATGAGCCACCACACCTGGCCCAAACTCATACACTTAACTGATCAGATTATCTGATATTTAGCCTTATTTTTCTTATTTCATATAACTGATAACTGAGTATCAGATATCTGATATTCAGCCTTTTTTCTTTTCTTATATCTTCAACTAAGAGTATGAGTTTTAACAAGCATTATATCTATGCTTATATCTAAATATCAAGAAAAAAACCAGCAATTTAACCCTAAATTAAAAAGAAATACATAACAAACATCAGAGGAGAAATCAATGGAATAAAAAACAATCATACAATCAGAGAAAAGCAACAAAGCCAAAAGTTGATTTATTGGAAATAATAAAACCAATAAACTCTAGAAACACTTAGTGCCAAGGCTGTTTCTCTTATCACAAAGTTCAACTTATTTTTAGATAACAAGCAGAAAGGATAGGCCACCATAGACACTCAAAATGAGCAATATCAAATGTGCGTGTGTGCACATGAGTTAACTGTTAGAAAAAAACTTTCTGGATTATTGGAAATATAGAAATATATATATATATATATACACACACACACACACACACACACACACGTAGGTAGAATTTGGTAAGTAGAACCCATTCCCTGGTGTTCTTGTTAACTAATCAGGGAGAACCATTGAACTTCAGCATTTTATCCTCCCTGGCACCATTATCTCAGGAACAGAAAAATATCCCAACAAAGGCTAATGTGAGAGTAGAGTGTAGCAATTTCTTCCAAGTTTGAGAAGTTCTCCTGACATCTTCCAAAAATTCCCTGCAGCTATCACTGAAGTAGCAATTCATAACACAAGAGATGGGGAAATGTGAAATCAACAAGAATTGCAGATTGGCAATTCTGCCTTTTCATTTTTCAGCAATCTCAGTTATTCAGCATCAAGAGCTGAGTGTTTTGGTGTAGTTGTGGGGACATCTGCACATTCCATCTGTGTCTGGAGAAGGCGTAGACATCTGAGCTTTCCATTGTATGTCTTTGAGCTTCCTAATGCTGTCAGACTTGGCTGGGCCCTTTTTACTGCTATGTAACAACAGCTGGTCTCTAAAAGTTTTGTCCTCCAGTGGGAACTTTATTCCAAGAAGAAGTGACACTTGAAATATTTAACAACAGCTACAGCAGAGACACTGACCAATCAGAATGAATGCCAGCCATAAGCAACCATTGAATACCTACCAGGTGAGTAAGCAGCCTTGAATCCAGGTGACCAGTTACTCAGTTACTTTATCCCTGAGACCCTTGGGCTCCCAGATTGTCAACTTTGAACAATCAACTAGATTTCTACTTTCTGCAATCCCAATCATGACAGAAAGTCCATCCTACACTCCATTTTCTTTAGGATCCTTTTTCTGCACCCCTCTCCAATTGCAATTTTTATATCTGCCTAGGTACATCGTTACAGAAACTGGTTCTGTCCAGTGAAACAGATGAGATGGCCATTGTCCATGTGTCAGGAAGCCTGGGCTTTTGAAACGGGGGATCCAGGGGGACCCAGGCAGCCTGGCTTTCAGGAAGTCACACTGGTTAGGAAGGTGTCAGACTGTGCCTGAGCTCTGCCAGCCCAGGAATGAATGCTAAGCTGTCTCTGCCTGTACAAGTCACTCAGTCTGCATGCATTGTGTCAGTCGGTGGCACTGGGTGGCCAGAAGTGCCAGGAAGACAGAGAGAAAGAGGCTTTTTCCTTCAGCTTCGGGTGCTGCAAGCAGAGCCATGTCTTCCACTGTGCCTCACACAACTGGGGAACCTCAAAATGTGGACAGAGGGTTCACAGGATGGGGAAGAATAGGAAGAAAAAAAAGAAAACACAAGAGAAATGCTCACCAAAGCAAAGCAAGACAAGACTGAATCAGGCATGCAGAGCAGATCTGGGCAGGTCACGTGGGGCAGCAGGAAAGTAGAGAGGAGCATGGGACAAACCAACCTCCTTACCCTCTCGTCCACCTTGCAGGAAGAGTCAGGTGCAGGGGCCTCAGGAGGTGAAAGGAAATTGTTTTTTAATACTCTGGTCAGTATGGGAAGAAATTAGTGTAGGTAGGGAACACATGAATTTGAGTCAGGGACCTGTGGATCATCAATCAAATGCTTTACTCAAAAACAACTAGTGTTGCCTTGAGCATGCTTCAATTCTGAACTTCAATGCAGGGAGTCGAGTAATCACTCATGGCCTGCCACCACCCCTAGCTGACTGTGCCATTGCAATTGGTCACCCTCCTACCATGCCCACAGCTTCATTCAGACATCCCCCACCTTCCCACACTCTCCCACCTCTACACACCTGGCCACTGCCTATGCCTGCAGCTCAGCACCCCACATGCCCTCAGTGATGGACTGAAGGCAGGCACTAGCTTGAACATCACTGATGCTTCCCACTGGGATGTTGTTTAGAATGACAAGTTGTTGTAAGTTCCAAAACAATTTTCCAGCCACTTAGAATTATTGGATGTTAGAACAGGTATTAACAGGGGATTATGCCCCAAATGACCCCCAAAAGTAGAAGTTCTCTGATTCCTCCTCAGTCCTACTAAATTGGAACTTCTAGGGAGTAATCTGTATTTTTTATAAGATCTATCAGTAATTCTGATGCAAAGTCAGACTGGGTGACCTCTGATTCAGGCTGTCCTGCCATAATATAAACTTCAAAGAAGAGCAGCTCATTAGAACTTCTGAAACACATGCAGATTATTAGTGACTTGACCATGACTTGTGCCAGAAAAATGAAGTCATCTGAGAAAACTGACACAAGCTATAGGAAGGACAGTGGTGAGGATGACAAGCAAGCCTAACATCAGAAAAAGAGAACCCACAGCTAAGTGGCATCAGGGGGCACCCAGATTTGAACCGGGGACCTCTTGATCTGCAGTCAAATGCTCTACCTGTGAGCTATACCCCCTTGCCTGGTGGACATTCCTCCTTAGCATATTTCACCTGTGTCACCACACCCAAGGATTCTATAGTGCACTGTAAATTGTATTAATTCCTGGCCAGCTTATGGAAATTGGCAGCCCTACCACAAATGACTAGAGACTGCTCTTCAGGCCATGAGTTCACTCCTTCACTCCCCAAATAACCTCCTGTCACTTGTCTAATGGCATCTTTCTACCTTGTAGCCACAACCTGAACTCCTTCAACTGAGGTCTCCTCCCGTTCCCTTACTCAGTACCTGATGGGAGTAGGGGTTGGGGGAGAGGCAGGTCTAAGTATCAAGGCTATTTTCACAACAATGTGTCATAATAAATCATCCCAAAATTGGCTGCTTGAAACAATAAGCATGTATTCTCATGCTCATAGGTCAGCAGCATGGATGCCAATCAGCTGATGCAGGCTGGGCTCGACCTCGTGTATCCGCTTCAAGCTGTGGGTCCATCTGTGCTTGGTTTCTGTCTGAGCTGGGCTTAGATCTGCTCCATGTGTGTTCCTTCTATGATCCCGGATGGAGGAGTAGCAGCTAGCAAGGGGCACTTTTCTTATGGTGACAGCAGAAATGCAAAGGGGTAGGCCCAACTATGAAAGCAGCTTTCAAGCCCCTATTTGCATTACATGTGAGAACACCTCAATGATCAAGGCGGCCAGTCACAAGACCAAACTGTAACTCAAGAGCAAGAAAGCATGTTTCACCTCCAGTGGGAAGATCTGAAAAGAAGGTAAAGGCCACAGATGCAGAAATAAATCAAAATTCAGGGCCAACAGTTTCATCTACCATGAACTGCCCTCTTGGTCATAATTACTTACATCTCTCCCATGTGCAAAATATACTCACCTCTATCCCAAGGTTCTCAAAGCCTCATTCAATTAGACAAAGTCCAAGCTCTTGTGATCCATATTAAATCAGATGAGGCTACTCTTGATTCAAAGATCTATGAACTCAAAAGAGAAAATTTGTACCCATTGAACACCTCAAGTACAATGATGGTACAAGAACAGAATTATTGCAATAAACATTTACATTCAAAAATTGGACAAAATGGAAAGCATGCACAGTCACAGAAACTGGTTCATGGAAACTAAAATGCTGAGAGTGTAGAAAATGATGGATGGAAGAGAAGACCAATGTGCAGCTCCCACCTGGACAAACAGAACAGCATGTGGAAATTCACATCATGAACTTTTGCTCCAAGAACCACCATAGGATCACACCAGAAAAACCAAAAGAACTCACAGACCCTTTTAAAGAAGCAGCTTGCTGCTGCAAACTCTATGAGATAGACAAAAAACTGTGAGTTCCCAATGTATGAGTGGGGAAGGTTTGCCTCTGAACACACATCTTCACTGTGGAACCTAAAAACCCAGATCATAGGAGTAGGATTTAACCTTATGTACAGCTGAAATGGATTTAGGGAGCTGAGCAAAATATAAAAGTAGAAGAAGCAGTAAGAAGGGCCCCGTAGGTACTCCCAGACTCCAGCTCAAGCCCAGGGAAGCCATTCCTGACTTTATCTCACAGGGGTCCTTGGGGAAGGCAGAGAGCAGAATTAGGGAGGGGCTACAGGGTAAAAGAAGCTTCTAGTTGAGCTTTGTAATAATTTCAACTGAGCACGAATTTTCCTGAGCAGAATCCAGTGGATGAATGAGATGTGTAGGTATGAGTACAGGAGCTGCAGCTGACATCATGGGCAGACAGGGAGGGATGAGGCCTGAAAACCCTGCTTGCTTTCTCAGTGGGGAGGCTTGTAGCCTGAAGCAGGATTGCAGCCCTGTGTGTCAGCTGCCTGGATATAAACTCGGTGCTGTTGGCAGGGCATGGAGGGAGTGAGACTGGCCTTGCTGACTGCTTGGGAGCTGGGCGAGGCCTGTCACTGCTGGCTTTCTACCACTTCCCTGGCAGCCTGTATAATGCAGCAGAGACAGCCATAATCCCCCTTGGAACATAGCTCTGTTGGCCTGAGAACCACTCACCCTATGCCCTACAGTGACTGCAGCAAGCCCCGCCCAAGAAGTACCAGAGCTTAGACCCGCTAAACACTGCCCCCACCTGGTGGCTTTCCTCTACCCACCCTGGTAGCCGAAGACAAAAGACAAGCTCTTGGGAGCTCTATAGCCCCACCAATCACCTGGGAAACTTGAATACTTATCCTGGCCAATTTAGGGCAAGCTTATATTCCCATTCTACTATCACAGCTGGTGCTCTATTGAAAGCACCACCTCCTACCTAAATGCCAACTAACTCAAGCCATTACAGCAATGTATAACAGAGCATCCCTCACCAAAGGCAAAAACAACAGTTAATTCCACTGCCAGTAACATCCTGCCTAACCAGAGGTCCTGAGTCTGTCCACATGACAGCTTTACTGCTAGCACAACCAACATTTAAGAAAATCAGTGCATTAAATGAAACTACAACCGAGGACTCTCACAGAGTCCATTTCACTCCCCTGCCACCTCCACCAGAGCAGCGTGCTGGTATCCGCAGCTGGGAGACCTGAAGATGGCTCACATCACAGGACTCTTTGCAGACATTCCTCAGCACCAGCCCAGAGCCTGGTAGCCCCACTGGGTGGCTAGACCCAGAAGGGCAATAACAATCACTGCAGTCCAGCTCTCAGGAAACCCCATCCGTAGGGAGGGGAGGAGAGCACCACATCAAGGGATCACCCCATGGGACAAAAAAATCTGGACAGAAGCCCTTGAGTTCCAAATCTTTCCACTGAAACTGGCTATCCAAATGAAAAGTAATTCTGGGAATATGACAAAACAAGGTTGTATAACACCCTGCAAAGATCACACTAGCTCTCCAGCAATGGATCTAAACCAAGAATAAATCTATGAATTGCCAAATAAAGAATTCAGAAGATTAATTATTAAGTTACTTAAGATGGTACCAGAGAAAGGTAAAAACCAACTTAAAGAAATTTTTAAAAAACCCTACAGGATAAGAATGAAAAAGTCTCCAAGAGAAATAGGTATCATGAAGAAAAAATAATGACAACTTCTGAAAATGAAAGACACACTTAGAGAAATACAAAATACACTGGGAAGGTTCAACAGTAGACTAGAACAAGTAGAAGAAAGAACTTCAGAGGTCAAAGACAAGGCTTTGGAATTAACCCACTGTGACAAAGACAAAGAAAAAAGTATTTTAAAATATGAACAGTCTGGGCATGGTGGTTCATGCCTGTAATCCCAGCACATTGGGAGGCTGAGGCGGGTGGATTACCTGAGGTCAGGAGTGAAACATGGTGAAACCCCGCCTCTACTAAAAATACAAAAATTAGCTGGGTGTGGTGGTGTGCACCTGTAGACCCAGCTACTCAGGAGGCTGAGGAAGGAGAATCGCTTGAACCTGGGAGGCAGAGGTTGCAGTGAGCCAAGATCATGCCACTGCACTCCAGCCAGCCTGAGTGACAGAGTGAGACTCCATCTCAAAAAAAAAAAAAGGAAAGAAAAGAACAAAACTTCCAAGAAAGTTAGGATTATGTTAAACAACCAAGCTTAAGAATAATTGGTGTTCCTGAGGAAGAAGAGAAATCTAAAAGTTTGGAAAACCGATTTGAGGGAATAATCAGGGAAAACTTCCCTGGCCTTGCTAGAGATCTAGACATCCAAATATAAGAAGCTCAAATAGCACCCAGGAAATTCATCACAGAAAAATCATCACCAAGGCACATATCTAAAGTCTTGACTTGTCTACATCAAGACAAAGGGAAGAATCTGAAGAGCTGTGAGGCAAAACCATCAGGTAAACTATAAAGGAAAGCCTATCAGATTAACAGCAGATTTCTCAGCAGGAACCTTGCAAACCAGAGGGATTGGGGTCCCATCTTTAGCCTCATTAAACAAAATAAGAATTTTGTATCCAGCAAAACTAAGCTCCATACATGAAGGAGTGATAAAGTCTTTTTCAGACAAACAAATGCTGAATGAATTTGCCGCTACTAAGCCAGCACTACAAGAAATGCTAAAAGGAGTTCTAAATCTTGAAACAAAATCTTGAAATACACATCAAAATAGAACCTCCTGAAAGCATACATCTTATAGGTCCTATAAAACAATAACACAATGAAGAAAAAAAAGGTATTCAGGCAACAACTAACACAATGAATAGAACAGTACCTCACATCTCAGTACTAATGTTTAATATAAATGACCTAAATGCTCCACTTAAAAGATACAGAATGGCAGAATGGATCAAAATCCACAAACCAAGTATCTGCTGTCTTCAAGAGACTCACCTGACACATAAGGATTCACATAAGCTTAAGGTAAAAGGTGGAAAAAGACATTCCATGCAAATGGACACCAAATGCAAGCAGGAGTAGCTATTCTTACATCAGACAAAACAGACCTTAAAGAAACAATGGTTAAAAAAGACAAAGAAGGACATTATATAATGATAAAAGGACTAGCCCAACAGGAAAATATCACAATCCTAATTATATATGCACCTACACCAGAGCTCCCAAATGTACAAAACATTACTACTAGACCTAAGAAATGAGATAGCTGGTAACACAATAATAGTGGGGGACTTCAATACTCCACTGACAGCACTAGACCAGTCGTCAGGAGAGAAAGTCAACAAAGAAACAATAGACTTAAACTATACCCTACAACAAATGAACTTAACAGATATTTACAGAACATTCTACCCAACAACTGCAGAATATACATTCTTCTCATCAGCACATGGAACATTCTCCAAGATAGACCATATGATAGGCCACAAAACAAGTCTCAATAAATTTAAGAAAATTGAAATTATATCAGTCAAGTACTCGCTCAGATCGCAGTGGAATAAAATTGGAAATTAACTCCAAAAGGAACCCCCAAAACAGTACAGATACATGGAAATTAAACAATCTGCTCCTGAATGATCATTGGATGAACAATGAAATCAAGATAGAAATTAAAAATTCTTTGAATTGGATGATAATAGTGACTTATGAAATCCTCTGAAATACAAAAAAAAGTGATGCTAAGAAGAAAATTCGTAGCATTAAATGTCTACATCAAAAAGTCTGAAACAGCACAAATAGACAATCTAAGGTCACGCCTCAAGGAACTAGAGAAACAAGAACAAACCAAAGACAAACCCAGCAGAAGAAAATAAATAACAAAGATCATAGCAGAACTAAATGAAATTGAAACAAACAAACAAAAAAATACAAAAGATAAATGAAGCTGGTTGCAGTGGCTCACGTCTGTAATTCCAACACTTTGAAAGGCCAAGGCAGGTGGATCACATGAGGTCACAAGTTCAAGACCAGCCTGGCCAACATGGTGAATCTCCGTCTCTACTAAAAATACAAAAATTAGCTGGGCATGGTGGCACATGCCTGTAATCCCAGCCACACAGGAGGCTGAGGCACGAGAATCACTTGAACCTGGGAGGCAGAAGTCAGAGTGAGCTGAGATTGTGCCACTGCACTCTAGCCTGGGTAACACAGTGAGACTCTGTCTAAATAAATAAATAAATAAAATGAAACAAAAAGCTGGATCTTTGAAAAGGTAAACAAAATTGATAGACCATGGTTGAGATTAAACAAGAAAAGAAGAGAGAAGATCCAAATAAGCCCAATTAGAAATGGAATGGAAGATATTACAACTGATACCACAGAAATACAAAAGACCATCCAAGGCTGCTATGAACACCTTTATGTGCACAAACTAGAAAACCTAGAGGAATGTGGACAATCCTGAAAATATGTAGCCCTCCTAGATTATGCGAGGAGGAAATAGAAACTCTGAACAGACTAATAATGAGTAGTGAGATTGAAACAGTAATAAAAATAATTTCCAACAAAAAATGTCCAGGACTAGATGGATTTACAGCTGAATTCTCTCAGACATTCAAAGAAGAATTGGTACCAATCCTACTGAAACTATTCCAAAAGATATAAAAAGAGAGAATCTTCCCTAAGTCATTCTACGAAACCAGTATTACTGTAATGCCAAAATCAGGAAAGAGCATAACAGAAAAAGAAAACTACAGATCAATATCCCTGATGAACATAGATGCAAAAATTCTCAACAAAATACTAGCTAACTGAATCCAACAGCATATCAAAAAGATAATAAACCATGAACAAGTGGGTTTTATACCAGGGATGCAGGGATGGTTTAACATACACAAGTCAATAAATATGATACCCCACATAAATAGAATTAAAAACAAAAATTGCATGATCATCTCAATAGATGAAGAAAAAGCATTTGACAAAATCCAGCATCTTTATGATTAAAATCCTCAGCAAAATCAGCATAGACACTTTGGGAGGCCGAGGTGGGTAGATCACAAGGTCAGGAGATCGAGACCATCCTGGCTAACACGATGAAACTTCATCTCTACTAAAAATACAAAAAATAAGCCAGATGTGGTGGCAGGCGCCCGTAGTCCCAGCTACTCGGGAGGCTGAGGCAGGAGAATGGTGGGAACCCGGGAGGCGGAGTTTGCAGTGAGCCAAGATCATGCCACTGCTCTCTAGCCTGGGCAACAGAGCAAGACTCCATCTCAAAAAAAAAAAAAATCAGCATAGAAGGGACTTTAAGGTAATAAAAGCAATCTGTGACAAACCCACAGCCAACATTATACTGAATGGGGAAAAGTTGAAAGCATTCCCCTTGCAAACCTGAACAAGACAAGGATGCCCACTTTCACCACTTCTATTCAACATAGTGCTGGAAGTCCTAGCCAGCGCAATCAGAGAAGAGAAAGAAATAAAGGGCATCCAAATCAGTAAAGAGGAAGTCAAAACATCACTTTTTACCGATAATATGATCATATAACTAGAAAACTCTAAAGACTCATCCAAAAAGCTCCTAGATCTGATAAATGAATTCAGTCAAGTTTTGGGATACAAAATCAATGTACACAAATCAGTAGCACTGCTATACACCAACAGTGACCAAACTGAGAATCAAATCAAGAACTCAACCTCTTTAACAACAACTGCAAAATAAATAAATAAATAAATAAATAAATAACTTAGGAATATACCTAACCAAGGAAGCGAAATATCTCCACAAAACACTGCTGATTTTTTTTCTAGTTCTGTGGAAAATGATGATGGTATTTTCATGGGAATTGTATTGAATGTATAGATTGCTATTGGCGGTATGGTCATTTTCACAATATTGACTCTACCCATCCATGAGCATGGGATGTGTTTCATTTGTTTGTGTCACCTATGATTTGTTTCAGCAGTGTTTTGTAAAGATCTCTCACTTCCTTGGTTAGGAAGGAGGCGGAGGTTGCAGTGAGCCGAGATTGTGCCACTGCACTTCAGCGTGGGTGACAGAGTGAGACCCTGTCTCAAAAAAAAAAAAAAAAAATTTATATATATATATATATATATATAAAGAAGTAAAACCATAGCTTGAGAGCCAAATCCCACCTTCTACCTGGATTTGTAAATAAAGGTTTGAAAAGGGTTACGGAGATATAATTCACATCCTATGCAATTCACCCATTTAAAGTACACAATTTAATAGGTTTTTTGGTATATTCACAGGTATGTGCAACCATCATGACAATTTCAGAGTATTTTTATCACCTCAAAAAAAATAAAAAAATAACCAAAACCCATACTCTTCAGCTATAATCCTATCCTCCCATACTCCCCACCCCCAAGCCTAGGCCATCACATATCTACTTTCTGTCTCTATATATTTCCTGATTCTGTACATCTCCTATGAATGGGATAATAAAATACATGGTCTTTTGTGACTGCCTTCTTTCACTTAAACATAGTGTTTCCATGATTGATCCATATTGTAGTATGTAGCAGGACTTCACTCCCCTTGTGGCCAAATAATATTCCATTGTGTGAATATATGGATATATTACATTTGGTTTATCCATTCATCAGTTGATGAACATTTAGGATTTTTCCACCTTTTGGCTATTATGAATATTGCTGCCATAAACTTTTTTTGGGGGGTGGGGTACAGAGTCTTGCTCTATTGCCCAGGCTGGAGTGCAGTGGCGCATTCTCGGCTCACTGCAACTTCCGTCTCCCGGGTTCAAGCGATTCTCCTGCCTCAGCCTCCTGAGTAGCTGAGACTACAGGCGCCCCCCCAACCACGGTTGGCTGATTTTTGTATTTTTACTAGAGACAGGGTTTCACCATATTGGCCAGGCTGGTCTTGAGCTCCTGACCTTGTGATCTGCCCGCCGTGGTCTCCCAAAGTGCTGGGATTACAGGCGTGAGCCACCACACCCGGCCTGCTATAAACTTTTATGTACAGGTCTTTGTGTGAATATTTGTTTTCATTTCTCTTGAGTGTTACAAAATTGTTTTGGTTATTCTGGGTTCCTTGTAATTCCATACAAATTTTAGAATCAGCATGCCAATTTCTACAAAGTCAACTGAGATTCCGATAGTAATTGCACTGAATCTGTAGATCACTTTGATGAGTAGTATCATTATCTTAGTCTGTTGTGGCTGCTGTAACAAACTAACATAGACTGGGTGGCTTATAAATAACAAAAAATTATTTCTAGCAGTTCTGGAGCCTGGGAAGTCCAAGATCAAGGCGCTGGCAGATTTAATGTCTGTGAGGGCCCACTTCCTGGTTCATAGATGGCTATCTTCTCACTGTGTCCTCATGCTACAGAAGGGGCAAAAGAGGCACAGGGAGTTCTTTGGGGTCTCTTATGAGGGCACTAATCCCCTTCATGAGGGTTCCATCCTCGTAATCTAAGCACCTCCCAAATGTCCTACCTCAAATACCATCACACTAAGGATTTGGTTTCAACATATGATTTTTTTGGGGGGTGGGGAGGGGGACACAAACCTTCAGTCTATTGCATCATCTTAACAATATAAAGTCTTCCAATCCACAAACATGGAATGTTTTTCTTTTATTTAGATCTTATTTAATCTCTTTGAACAGTGTTTTAGCTCCAGGTAAGTTTTTTGTAAAATGTATTCTTAAGTATTTTATTATTTTTGATGCTATTGTAAATGAAATTGTCTTGTTAATTTCATTTTTGGATTGTTCATTGTAAGTTTATATAAATAGACTTATTTTTGTATATTAACTTTATATCCTGCAACATTGTTGAACTGATTTATTAGTTTAAAAAGTTTTTAGTGAATTCCTTAGGATTTGCTATATATAAAATCATATTATCTGTGCATAGGTATAGTTTTCCTTCTTCTCCACTGTGAATGACTTTTATTTTTCTTGCTTATTGCCCTGGCTAGAATTTGCAGTAAAATGTTGAATAGAAATGGTAAGAGCAGATATCCTTGTTTTATTCCTGATCTTAGGAGGAAAGCATCCAGTCTTTCACCACTAAGTACAATGTTAGCTGTGGGATTTTCCAAAGATGCCCTTTGTCAGGTTGAGGAAGTTTTCTTATTCCTAGTTTTTGAGTATTTTTACCATGAAAGGCTGTTTGATTTTGCTAAATGCTTTTTCTGCATCTATTGAGATGATCATGTGATATTTTTGTTTTGTTGTATGTATATGATTTATTATATTGATTTTCTTTTTATTATTTTTTAGTTTAAAAATTTGTGGGTACACAGTAGGTGTATATATTCATGAGATACATGAGATATTGTGATACAGGCATTCAATGCACAATAATCACATCAGGGTAAATGGGATAAACATCACCTCAAGCATTTATCATTTCTTTGTGTTTCAAACAACCCTATTATACTCTTCTAGTTATTTTAAAGTGTACAACAAATTATTATTGATTGCAGTCTGTTGTACTATCAAATACTAGATCTTATTCATTCCATCTAACTATATTTTTGTATCCATTAACTATCCCACTCCCCCTGCCCCCACTATCATTCCTAGCCTCGGTATCCATCACTTTACTCTCTGTCTCCATGAATTTAATGATTTTAAATTTTTTTAGGTCTCACAAATAATTGAGAACATGCAAAGTTTGTCTTTCTGTGCCTGGCTTATTTCACTTAACATATTGACCTCCAGTTCCATCTGAGTTGTTGCAAATGACAGGATCTCATTCTTTTTCATGGCTGAATAGTACTCCATTGTGTATACATGCCACATTTTCTTAATCCATTCATCTGATGATGGACACCTAGGTTGCTTCCAAATCTTGTCTATTGTGTATATTGCTGGGTCATATAGTAGTTCTATTTTTGGGTTCCTGAGAAACCTCCAAACTGTTCTCCATAGTGGTTGTACAAGTGTGCCCTTTTCTCCACATCCTCAGAAGCATTTGTTATTGCCTGTCTTTTGCCTTTCAAAACTACAATGAGGTATTATCTTACCCCAGTTAAAATGGCTTATAGACATTTTAACTGGGGTAAGATAATACCTCATTGTAGTTTTGATTTTCATTTTTCTGATGATCAATGATGTTGAGCTGTATCTTTTCACATACCTGTTTGCCATTTGTATGTCTTCTTTAGAGAAATGACTATTCAGAACTTTTGCCCATTTTTCAATTGGATGATTAAATTTTTTAATTGAGTTGTTTTAGTTTCTTATAAATTTTGGTTATCGATCACTTGTTAGATGGGTAGTTTGCAGATATTTTCTCCCATTCTGTGGGTTGTCTCTTCACTTGTTGATTTTTTCCTTTGCTGGCAGAAGGTTTTTAACCTGATGTGATCCCATTTGTCCATTTTTGCTTTGATTGCCTGTACTTGTGCAGTGTTACTTAAGATGTCTTTGCCCAGTCCAATGTTCTGGAGAGTTTCCTCAATGTTTTCTTATAGTAGTTGCATAGTTTAAGGTCTTAGAGTTAGGACTTTAATCTATTTTGATTTGATTCTTGTATATGGCAAAAGATAGGGGACATCTTCTGCATGTGGACATCCAGTTTTCCCAGCATCATTTACTAAAGAGACTGTCCTTTCCCTGATATATGTTCTTGGCACCTTTGTCAAAAAAGAGCTCACTGTAGATGTATGGATTTATTTCTGGGTTCTCTGTTCTGTTCCATTGGTCTATGTGTCTGTTCTTATGCCAGTACCATGCTTTTTTGGTTACTATAGCTCTATAGTATAATTTGAAGTCAGATAATATGATTCCTTTAGTTTTGTTCTTTTTGCTCAGGACAGCTTTGGCTATTCTGGGTCTTCTGTGGTTCCATATCAATTTTATAACTAATTTTTCTATTTCCATGAAGAATGTCATTGGTATTTGGTAGGGATTGCATTAAATTTGTAGATTGCTTTGGGTAGCATTGACATTTTAACAGTATTGATTCTTTCAATCCATGAACATAGAATATCTTTCAACTTTTGTGTCTTTGTCCATTTCTTATATCAATGTTTTAAATAGTTTTCATCATAGAGATCTTTCACTTCTTTAGTAAATGTTATTCCTAGATATTTTATTTTACTTGTAGCTATTGTAAATGAGATTACTTTCTTAATTTCTTTTTCAGATTGTTCACTGTTGGCATATAGAAATGCTACTAATTTTTGTATGTTGATTTTGTACCCTGCAACTTTACTGAATTTATGTGTTCTAATAGGTTTTGGTGGAGTCTTTAGGATTTTCAAAATGCGAGATCATATCATCTACAAATAAGGATAATTTGACTTCTTCCTTTCTAATTTGGATGCCCTTTATTTCTTTCTCTTGTGTGATTGCTCTAGCTAGGACTTCCAGTACTATTTGAATAACAGTGTGAAGGTGGGCATCCTTGTCTTGTTCCAGATCTTAGAGGAAAGGCTTTCAGATTTCCTCATTCAGTATGATAGTAGCTGTGGGTCTGTTGCGTATGGCTTTTATGGTGTTGAGGTATGTTCCTTCTATACTCAGTTTTTTGAGGGATTTTATCATGAAGAGATGTTGAATTTTATCAAATGCTTTTTCAGCATCAATTGAAATGATCATATGTTTTTTGTCCTTCACTGTAGATATGATGTATCACATTGACTGATTTGCAATATGTTGAACCATCCTTGCATCCCTGAGATGAATCCCACTTGGTCATAATGAATGATTTATTTATTTATTTATTTGAGATGGTGGTCACTTTGTTACCCAGGCAGTAGTGCAGTGGCATGACCTCTGCTCACTGCAAACTAGGCTTCCCAGGCTCAAGTGATTCTCCAGCCTCAGCATCCCAAGTAGTTGGGACTACAGGCATGTGCCACCAAAGCCCAACTAATTTTTATGTTGTTTTAGAGACAGGGTTTCACCATGTTGTGCAGGCTGGTCTCCAACTCCTGAGCTCAAAGTGATCGACCGACCTTGGCCTCCCAAAGTGCTGGGATTACAGGCACAAGTCATTACGCCTGGCCTGAATGATCTTTCTAATGTGTTGTTGAATTCGATTTGCAGTATTTTGTTGAAGATTTTTTAAATCAATGTTCATCAGAGATCTTGGCCTGTAGTTTTCTTTCTTTTTTTTTAATGTGCCTTTGATTTTGGTATCAGGGTAATTCTGGCCTCATAGAATTAGTTTGGATGTATTCCCTCCTCTATTTTTTTTGAATAGTTTGAGCATGATTCATATTAATTCTTCTTTAAATGTTAGGTAAAATTCAGCAATGAAGCCATCAGGTCCTGAGATTTTTTTTCCTGGAAGATTTTATTACAGCTTCAATCTCGTTACTTATTATTGGTCTGTTCAGGTTTTGGATTTCTTCTTGGTTCAATCTTGGTATGTTGTATGTGTCTAGGAATTTATCCATTTCTTCTAGGTTTTCCAATTTATTGGCATATAGGGTTAGGTTAGGGTTAGGCTCATAGTAGCCTTTATGATCCTTTGGAGTTCTACAGTATCAATTGCAATGTCTCCTTTTTCATCTCTGAGTTTATTTATTTAGATCTTCCCTATTATTTTTCTTAGTGTTGACAACAGGCCCTCAAATCTGGCCATAAACTGGCCATAAACAAAATCTCTGCAGCACTGTGACATGTTCGTGATGGCCATGACACCCACGCCGAAGGTTGTTGGTTTACCAGAATGAGGGCAAGGAACACCTGGCCCACCCAGAACAGAAAACCACTTAAGGCATTCTTAAACCACAAACAATAGCATGAGCAATCTGTGCCTTAAGGACATGTTCCTGCTGCAGATAACTAGCCAGAGATCATCCCTTTATTTCGGCCCATCCCTTTATTTCCCATAAGAAATGCTTTTAGTTAATCTATAATCTATAGAAACAATGCTTATCACTGGCTTGCTGTCAATAAATATGTGGGTAGATCTCTGTTCGAGGCTCTCAGCTCTGAAGGCTGTGAGACCCCTGATTTCCCACCCCACACTCTATATTTCTGTGTGTGCATCTTTAATTCCTCTAGAGCCACTGGGTTAGGGTCTCCACAACTGAGCTGTTCTCGGCAAGTGGCGCCCATATGTGGGGCTCGAACCCAGGTGGAAGAGTCACCAGAGCGATGGTTGGAGAGCGTGGAACTAAGCTGGAGGACACCTGAGTACTCTTAAGCAATCCCTGTGGTGAGGAAGAAGGGGAGCTTGGGAGCATCAGGGTAACAATGGGACAAGTGTGGGCTCTGGTTCATTCTACCTTGAAACCTTTCCACACTGATGATCAGGAAGAAGAAGAGTATAATTAAGTAACAGAGCAGATTTGTTTGCCAGCTAAAGGTAAAGTGGCAAAGGAGGAAGAGGTTCATCCCTACCCTTCTGCACCCCCTCCTTATTTTGAAGAAAAAGAGTGGTGTGACCCTCCAGATCTTTCTTTTCCAGAGGACACTGGTTGAAAAGTAGTTGCCCCAGTGACTGTTCGAGCAGCACCTCGAGCAACCGCTCTCAGTTCTATTGAGGCAGGAATTCAGCAAGCTAGAAGAGAGGGTGATATAGAGGCCTGGCAGTTTCCTGTTAGAATATACCCCCCAGATCAACAAGGAAATATTATAGCTACATTGAGCTTTTTCCTTTTAAATTACTCAAAGAATTTAAACAAGCTATTAATCAATATGGACCAGGTTCTCATTTTATAATGGGACTGTTAAAGAATGTTGCTGTTTCCAGTTGGATGATTCCTACTGACTGGGATGCTCTTACTCGAGCTTGCCTAACTCCTTCCCAGTTCTTACAGTTTAAAATTTGGTGGGTAGATGAGGCTTCCATTCAGGCTGCTCACAATGCCCAGGCCCAACCTCAAATTAATATAACTGCAGACCAACTTTTGGGGGTCAGTGGCTGGGCTGGTTTAGATGCACAAGTGGTTATGCAGGAGTGTGCATTTGAGCTTGGGAAAAAATCACTTCAGGTGGAGAACAATACCCTTCCTTTAGTGCTATAAAACAGGGACCTAAAGAACCATATGCAGATTTTATAGCTCGGTTACAGGAGTCTCTTAAAAAGGTGATTGCAGATTTGGCTGCTCAGGATATAGTGTTGTGGTTATTAGCTTTTGACAATGCTAATCCTGAGTGCCAGGCTGCTCTGCGACCTATCAGAGGGAAAGCACATTTAGTTGATTATACCAAGGTCTGTGATGGTATCAGAGATAAACTGCATAAGGCTACTCTGCTAGCCCAGGCAATGGCAGGACTGAGAATGGGTAAAGGAAATACTCCGTTTCCTGGAGCTTGTTTTAACTGTGGGAAGCATGGTCATACTAAAAAAGAATGTAGAAAAAATCAGCAAGTCAGACCACCAGATAGGAGAAAAAAGAAAACTGCTGAGCCTGAAATATGTCCAAAATGTAAAAAAGGAAAACAATGGCTAATCAGTGTCACTCTAAGTTTGATAAAGATGGGAATCTGATTTCGGGAAACGCCATGAGGGGCCCATCCCGATCCCCATTCCAAACTGGGGCATTTCCGGCTCAGGCCATTTCCTCACCCCTGTACAATGTCTGTCCCCCACCACAGCTGGTAGTGCCACAGTAGATTAATGCTGCACAAAAGCTGTGAGCCTTCTACCTGGGGAACCCCTGCAGAAGGTCCCAACAGGAGTCGGTGGACCCTTGCCAGCAGGGATGATAGGATTACTTCTAGGAAGGTCTAGTTTAAATTTAAAAGGAGTACAAATACATACAGGAGTCGTTGATTCAGATTACAATGGGGAAATTCAAACTGTTATATCTATTTCTGTTCCCTGGAAAGCAGAGCCAGGAAAGTGTATAGCACAGCTCCTAATTGTGCCATATGTGGAAATGGGGAAAAGTGAAATTAAACAAACAGGAGGATTTGGAAGCACAAATAAACAAGGCAAAGCAGCTTATTGGGTGAATCAAATTACTGATAAACGTCCTACCTGTGAAATAACTATTCAGGGAAAGAAATTTAAAGTTTTGGTAGATATAGGAGCGGACATTTCAATCAATTCTCACTGGCCATCTGCATGGTCAATTCAACCTGCTCAATTTAACATAGCTGGAGTTGGTAAAGCCCCTGAAGTATACCAAAGTAGTTATATTTTGCATTGTGAAGGGCCTGATGGACAACCTGGGACTATTGAACCAATTCTAACTTCTGTACCTATAAATTTATGGGAAAGAGATTTATTACTACAACAATGGGAAGCACAAGTTCTAATTCCAGAGCAATTATACAGCCCTCAAAGTCAACATATGATGCATGAAATGGGGTATGTCCCCGGTATGGGACAAGGAAAAAAATTTGCAAGGTTTGAAGGAACCACTTCAAGCAGAAAGACAAAGTTCCCACCAAGGTTTAGGATATTATTTTTGGTGGTGGCTATTGTTAAGCCTCCAGAACCTATACCTTTAAAATGGTTAACAGATAAGCCAATTTGGATAGAACAGTGGCCGCTAAGTAAAGAGAAACTGGAGGCTTTAGAGGACTTAGTTAATGAACAATTAGAAAAAGTGAGAGACAAGACTAGCTGGATTTCCTAGGCTGACTAAGAATTCTTGAGCCTAGCTGGGGAAGGTGACCGCACCTACCTTTAAACACAGGGCTTGTAACTCAGCTAACACCCGACCAATCAGGTAGTAAAGAGGGCTCACTAAAATACAAATTAGGCTAAAAGCAGGAGGTAAAGAAATAGTCAAATCATATATCGCCTGAGAGCACAGGGGGAGGGACAATGATTGGGATATAAAACCCAGGCATTCAAGCTGGGGGTGGCAAAACCCCATTTGGGGGCAACCCACTTTGGGAGCTGTGTTTTCACTCTATTAAATCTTGCAACTGCAAAAAAGAAAGAGAAAGAAAGAAAGAAAGGCAGAAAGAAAAAGAAAAACACTGCATAGTGCCCTGATGATCCTTTGCAGTCCCAGTGAATGTTTGGCTTCAGCCTTGCTGTCATCACTCCCACAGTTCCTTGCCTTCATCTGCTACACCCTTTTAGATGATCGTCCTTTCCCTGCATCCTCAGGATCTGTGTGGTCTTTGGGTCTTATAGTAGAAATTTCCAGGGAAAAGGTCCACAGAGACAGAGATCCTGGTCCTAATACAGAGGATACTGGAGGCCTGAGTTTTGGGGCTCATACAGCCAGCCTTTGTGCCTGGCCCTGACTCTTCCAGTTGTGTTGAGCTACTAGTTTGTGGCCTGCATGAGGCTGGGACCCCTCTGGTAAGGTGTCTTCCTTTTAAAGACAAGGACTAGTAAATGAGGAGCTGGAAGAAGAGCCAAAAGTTAAAAAAAATGTAGGACTAAGCCCAAAGTACCTCACTGTGCAGAGGATGAAAGTGAAGTGGAGAGAGAGTATGGGAAGTTTGTTAGAGAAAGTGAAATTTAGGAGACAGAGAGGAAGCTTCCAACTCTAAACAATTGTGCAAATGGTTGCCCCACACAGGGACTGAGGAGGAGGCTGCAGGATTCTAGGCAGGAAAGATTTCTAGAAGTCCTCTGATAGGTCCATGGGGAAGAACAGGGTAAATTCAAAGCCAGATAGAGGTCTGTCTGAATGAGGTCATTTGCCAGTGGTTCACTGAAAATGATGAGAAATTACAATGTCTATTAGATCCTTGGGTGTGGGAACATAGGTGAAACAGTGTCAATCAGGAAAGTCTAAACAGTTGAGAGGGCACCTTTTGGGGGCAGAGCATCTGGCTGCATATCAAGTAGTCCCTGGTTCAAGATGGTGTCACTTGTTGACCCTTCCTTTCACTCTGCCCACGTGTTTGCAATCACTGCGTCCTGTGTCATGTCCCAGTGACCACAGATTTCTCTGATTCTCCACTTCTCCACTTTTCCATGGATTGGATCCTGTCTTCTGGTCACTACTTTTATCTGACACATCGTGGGATTCAGCGAATGGGGGAGAAGAGGAAAGAAGAGGAAAGGAAAAGGCAATTCAACTCCTGCCTCAGAGTGTTCAGTGCAAAGAGGCCCTTTATCATGAATGTGGATTCTAGTCATGACTTGGTCATTAATCAGGTGCGTTTTGTTTGGGCACAATTTGAATTACTATCAGTTTTTCCAGATCTGTACCGTGGAAGGGAACAGTTTAAACCAGGAGCCTCAAACCATGTGTCAGAGTGGTATAGGAGGTTTGTTAGAATCATGTCATCCAAGTTCTGTTCCCAGAGAGTCTGGCTTAGGAGTCCTCAAGTGGGGCCCAATAACTTTTGCTTTTACCCAGCTCTGCCCAGACCAGCTTCACCTCCAAAGGGTCTGTTGAGCAACCAGTTCTTTGAGTCCTGCTTCTCTAGGTGAGTCTGAAGGATGTTCTGTCTGCAAACCTGTGATTTTAATAGAATTAAAGAAGGAAGAATGCTGGTTACAAGTAGAGCTGGCAGGCAGGTGTAAAATAGGAAAGGGGTATATGGTGACAGAGCAAGTATGCATCTCATGATGGTGACAGCCAGGGGTGTGGCCATACAGGTTTATAGTGGTTAGTAGAGACAAGTAAGTGGGTGGGGGTATAGCTTAGGGGTAGAGCATTTGACTGCAGATCAAAAGGTCCCTGGTTCAAATCCAGGTGCCCCTTCTCTAGTTCACTTTTTTTTTTTCTTTTTGAGATAGAGTCTCACTCTGTTGCCCAGGCTGGAGTGCAGTGGTGCGATCTCGGCTCACTGCAACCTCCTCTCCTGGGTTCAAGCGATTCTCCTGCCCCAGCCTCCTGAGTAGTTGGGATTACAGGCGCGTACCACCATGCTCGGCTAATTTTTGTATTTTTAGTAGAGATGGAGTTTCACCATGTTGGCCAGGCTGGTCTTGAACTCCTGACCTCAGGTGATCCGCCCCCCTTCGCCCCCTCAAAATCATGAGATTACAGGCATGAGCCACCACACCTGGCCCCCTATTTCCTTTTCACTCACTGAACATGATAGGATGTTCTACTCTTAGCTTTTCTTCAACACATGGATCCATTCTGCAAAGCAGGAGAGAGAGGAGGCAGGTCAGGTCTTCACTAGAAAGCTCCCCCTGACACCTGAAGCTCCAGAGAAACCCAGTTTCTTGAGAGCTAAATCAGTGCTCATAGGTCTGGGGTGAACTTTTTTTTTTTCTTGCATATCTCAACCCTCTTAATTTCATTTGGGGAATTCACAATTGTGTAACTCTTGGTGGAAGACAAGATCCTGTCTCTGGTTAAGGAAAACAATAAGATCAGATATTTCCTCCCCCCGATTGTTGGTGTGTGAGTCGGGGTTCTTCAGAGAAAATAGAACCAATAGGGTGCATGCGTGTGTGTGTGTGTGTTTGTGTGTGTGTGTGTATACGTAGAGATTTTAAGGAGTTGGATCATGCAATTGTGGGGGCTGGCAAGTCTGATACAGGACATGGCAGCAGGCTGGACTTGCAGGAAAGAGTTGAGGTTGCAGCTCGAGTCCAAAGACAGCATGGAGGCAGAATTCCTTCTCAGGGGACAGCAGACATTTCTTCGTAAGTCCTTTATCTGATTGGATGAGGCCCACCCACAATTTGGAGGGTAATCTGCTTTACTCAAAGTCTATGGATTTAGTGTTAATCACCTCTAAAAAATACTTTCATAGCAGCATCTAGATTGGTTTGGACAAATATCTGGGAACCATGGCCTAGCCAAGTTGACACATTTAAAAACTTTTTTTTTTTGAGACAGGGTCCTGCTCTGTCACCCAGGCTGGAGTGCAGTGGCATGATCTCTGCTCACTGCAACCTCCGCCTCCTGGGGCTCAAGAAATCCTCCTACCCCAGCCTCCGGAGTAGCTGGGACCACAGGTGCGCACCACCACGCCCAGCTAATTTTTGTATTTTTTGTACAGATGGAGTTTCTCCATGTTGCCCAGGCTGGTCTCAAACTTCTGGGCTCAAGCAATCTGCACACCTCGGCCTTCCAAACTGTTGGAATTACAGGCATGAGCCACTGTGCCCTGCCAAGACATAAAATTAACCAGCACAATTGGTAATGGCTAATGTTTGGCCAACTATATGCCCCTAAACATTAGACTATGAATGTTGAGTAAATTGTACATAAAAGGCAGGGCGAATTTGGAATCCATTCTGGAGATGGCAGAGCTCTGGCAATGGCAATAGGGCCAGAGGCTGCAGCCAGCATCCATCGTGGAGACAGTGGCGGCTCCCTAGCCAGGGTGGGCTGAGGTCCTGCTTACTTGATGAGCCTGGCTCTGCAGGCTTCTCTGAAGTGCATGAGCTTCTTGCCATCCTGTCAGCGATGTCCCTGTCTCCACTCACCTTAGATGGCTTCTTCTTTAATCAAAGTGCCCTGGCTGGTACCAGGGATGTGTAAAAAGTGATTTCAGGGAAATGAAGGGAATGTGGATTGGGAATCTGGCCTCATTAAACTTGAAGGTAATGAAAATCTAGGTAGTTTGGGGGGATAGAAATCCAGAAGCCCATATCAGATTGTAGAAAAGTTGAGTAACTTTTGCCTGCAGTTCCCTCAGGGCCAATTTGTAGTTCCCAGATTATAAGTGGCCTTTGGGCAGGGTGGCTGGTCCTACCAGTTTAAACAAAGCAAATAGTCAGCTCACCTGTCACCCTGTATGATCTGTTCCACGTAGACTGAAACACAGGCCTTTTTCTGTCTGTATCACAAAACTGTCTGATCTCTTGCCACCGAATAAGCGAAACAGCTGAAAATGAGAGCCAAGGCTGATCCCTGTGGGTGCCAAACTTTGATGTCCGTGGAATTGGCAGCTTCCCTCACTCTCCCAGCTGAAAACAGGTCAGTGATTAAGAGAGTGGAACTTCAGGAATTGTAAGGTGGACTTATGGGAACATTTGGAAGACTTGATTTATCCCAAATCACCAACTCTACCTAATGTCCAAGGCTGCCCCTTCTTCCTGCCTGAAAGCCGACCAGCCCAGAGGGAAGGGTTTTCACTGCAGGAGATCAATTTCCCCACCCCTCATTGTCTCTTGACCTACGGTGAGAGTAAGATCTCAGCTGAGCCTGGGCACCTGTTGCTGAGAGACGAAGATTCACACACCAAAATGATTTCCAACTGACTAATGTATGTCAGCAAAAACCTCAAGAACATATGTAGATGTGGATTCTTGGAGTATTTTATAAAGTAGAAAGAGTATAATTTTAAATGAGTCTGAATTTTTTTATTAGGAGGGTACCCAATTAAAATTCTATTTAAAACACCATAGCTGGAGCAGCTGGGATAAACCTGTTTGCTCAATTGGTGGACCTAAGCCTGGATTCACAGGAGGCCAATTCTAAATGCATTTGAGATACTAGGGATTTCTTGCTATAATGTAGAAAGAATCCATAGACTTCAGGGGGTAGGTAAGCTGGAGTGGATTTATCACATGTAACTTGCCCTGGCTTGAAAAATACATAGATGTGTGGCACTTCTACATTCTTTTTTTTTTGGGACGGAGTCTCACTCTGTTGCCCAGGCTGGAGTGCAGTGGCACAATCTTGGCTCACTGCAAGCTCCGCCTCCTGGGTTCATGCCATTCTCCTGCCTCAGCCTCCTAAGTAGCTAAGACTACAGGTGCCCGCTACCACGCCCGGCTAATTTTTTGTATTTTTAGTAGAGACGGGGTTTCACCATGTTAGCCAGGATGGTCTCGATCTCCTGACCTCGTGATCTGCCCGCCTCGGCCTCCCAAAGTGCTGGGATTACAGGCATGAGCCACCACACCTGGCAGCACTTCTACATTCTTGAAAATAATTTTGGTAGCCATTCTGTGTGGACAGAGATGCTAGTGAGAGGGATGATAGTGGAAAGGGAGCCCCTGATTTCAGTGGGGCTGGGAGGATTCTAGGGTGTCAGAGGCCAAGCACTGTGATACTTTACCCCGAAGTGAAGTTTGGGTGTTATTCCGTGGTCTGTGCCACACAGGTCTTGGCTGTGACTCATCAGTGGTAAGGATTTTCGGCCGGAGAATGGGGAGCCCATCGTGGTCCCCTAGACGTGTAGACCTGAACTACCACCATAGCTGGCACAATGGAGGTTCCTGACCTCTGACCCATTCCCCAGGTCTGAATCTGCTCAAAGAACCTGCCTCCCTTGATGATAGGGAAGCCAAGCTTGAGAAAAGGACTCTGCCAAAATATCCAGTCACGGACAGTGAATCCTTCTGCCCGATTTCCCATATTAGGCCCTTCAGCTATTTGCCTGGAAACTACATGGAGGAGTGGGAAATATCCACATAATTTGGGATTATTGGTGGCTCTGCTGCATCTGTGAAGCTCCTGGAGATCCAGTAATTTGAGTAACATCAGAATATCCCAGAAAAGACCACATCCTGCACCTTGCCCTGGTTGCCACCACCATCAGAGGTGGCTTGAGAGACCACAGTTACTACCCATGGTGTGCTGCTCCCACCCGAAAGGCTTTGTATAGGGCCTAGGGCAAGAGAAACCCCTCCAGCTGGTGGCAGGGGCAGTGCAAGCAGCCCTGCCACCTGGCTGTTCTGACACAGCTGGTCTTGGGTGCATGGAGGGTCTCCGGCAGATGGAGATGCTGTCTGACATCTCCAGCGAGCTTGCGTAGGGGAATTCATCACTCAGACTTTGGTAATCAAGTGAGTGAGACACAGAAATGAAAAGAGTTTAGAGTTTATTTTGCTGGTGCGGTAGCTCTGGCATGGATCCAGTATGGAGTCACTCTCTTTTTTCCCCTACACCTTAATGCTCAGAACAGTGTGAAGTCTCTCTTCACAGCCCGTTGTGCCGGTGTGATTCTGACTAAAGCCTGGCTGCCAAGTGCCTCTGGGATCCTGCCCAACTCCTAAGCCTCTTGTTCCAGGCTTTCTTTCAGTGTTAGGAACTGCCTGACAACAGTCACCTTGTCTGTTTCAGGTAGTCAAAGCTAGCTTCTGGTTTTGTACCCAAATTTTCTTTTCTTTCTTTCTTTTTTTTTTTTTTGAGATGAATCTCGCTCTGTCGCCCAGCCTGGAATGCAGTGGCACGATCTCGGCTCACTGCAATCTCCGCCTCCAGGGTTCACACCATTCTCCTGCCTCAGCCTCCCGAGTACTCTGGGACTACAGGTGCCTGCAACCATGCCCGGCTAATTTTTTGTATTTTTAGTAGAGACAGGGTTTCACCATGTTAGCCAGGATGGTCTCAATCTCCTGACCTCATGATCCGCCCACCTTGGCCTCCCAAAGTGCTGGGATTACAGGCGTGAGCCACCGCACCTGGCTGTGTACCCAGATTTTCTACCTGCTACATAAGTTGGTGTTAGGAGTGGGTTTCAGGCAACAGACCATTATGAAAATGGTATTGATTATCCAGACTGGCTGAGGCTAAATTTGGAGGCAATCCAGTTAATCTTTGGGCCTGGGAATATGGTATAACCTATAGCCCACACTGGCAAAATAACTAAGAAAATTACTGCTAGTGGTCATCTGGAATGAAGTGCCCACTAGGGACCAGGCTTCCAGATACACATTTGCTTCTTGTTATTGAACTGGAAGCTGGCAGTGTAGCTGATGTACTGGGATAGCTTAGAGAAAGAAACAACAAAAAGTCCAATGAAAAGAACCAAAATCTCTCCTTTCTAGCAGCCATGAGGCTTAGCAGAGAGCCAAAGGCAGTGTTTGATTCTGCAAGATTGCTCAATTACAGCCTTCCTAGTGTGAACATCTAGGACTCTGGGCCGGGTGCGGTGGCTCATGCGTGTAATCCCAGCACTTTAGGAGGCCAAGGTGGATCCTTGAGGTCAGGAGTTTGAGATTAGCCTGAACAACATGGTGAAACTCTGTTTCTAGTAAAAATACAAAAATTAGCTGAGTGTGGTGATGGACACCTGTAATCTCAGCTATTCAGGAGGCTGAGGCAGGAGAATTGCTTGACCCCAGGAGGCAGAGGTTGCAGTGAGCCGAGATCATGCCATTGCACTCCAGCCTGGGTGACAGAGCAAGACTGTGTCTCAAATTAATTATTTAATTAATTAAAAAGAACATCTAGGGCTTTGATCTGGAAAGAGTGAGACCCCCAGGAATGGTCACGGGGATCCATGGAAGATTTGTAGAACCCAAACTATACCTAACATGAAGTCTTCTGCACCTCCTCTGCCAGCTAAAGACAGCCCTGCTTCTCCTGCTGCCCCTGTTCCAGCGCTGCTCCGCCTCTTACCTCACCACACCCTCTGTTTTTCTTTTGATCTATAATTTGAGAAAATCTTAGCATACCAACAGAGTCAATTACAAAGTCACACCTTGAAGGTAGAGGCTTCAACACAAAAATAATCACGACTATTCTGATTTATAGCACCAAAAATCTGGGGAATGTGTGCAGAAGTGATTTCTCGACAGCACTTGTCTAAGGAGGGTGGAAACAGTTAAATTCTACTGCATTTAGTGCTGTTGAATTCTGCATTTGATGTCTTACTTGGAGCAGCTGGGGATTATTTTATTATTTGCTCAACTTGCTGATTAAAATCAGAAATCAAAATTGTTCAAAGACAGATGAAATTGAGATGCCAGCAAACCCCTGAACAGTAACTCTAGACTTTTTTTTTTTTTTTTTTTTTTTGAGAGGGAGTCTTACTCTGTCACCCAGGCTGGAGTGCAGTGGCGCGATCTCGGCTCACTACAACCTCCGCCTCCAAGGTTGAAGCGATTCTCCTGCCTCAGCCTCCCAAGTAGCTGGGACTACAGGTGCATACCACCATGCCTGGCTAATTTTTGTATTTTTTAGTAGAGGCAGGGTTTCACCCTATTGGCCAGGCTGGTCTCCAATTCCTGACCTCGTGATTCGTCCGCCTCATCCTCCTAAAGTGTTGGGATTACAGCCAGTGAGCCACTATGCCTAGCCAACTCTAGAGTTGAAGAGACTGGAAAGGTCAAATGTACTAAATTCATGTGACATGCCATCACTCCCAGCCCCATAGCTTCCACCAACACAATGGCTAGGAGAAAACCCCTTCAATACATTATTTAGAAGCACTTTATTTACTGGAGCTCTGGCATCTTTGAGAACCATTTTAATTGCATGTCTTTGTCAACCAGTGACAGACGCTATAGCTAAAATGAATTCTCTACTTCAAATTGAGGATGAAGGGGAAGAGGCTAGAAGTTGCCCTTGACCACCACATGTTGGGTGGCAGTGGCTGCCTTCATAGCTTGCAGAGCCACACACAGTGTCCGTTCAAATGGTCTTCTCATGGAGTTCTCAGCACCTATACAGAATGTGTGTCTATGCAGCTTTTTTTTTTTTTGAGATGGAGTCTTGCTCTGTCACCCAGGCTGGAGTGCAGGGGCGCGATCTCCGCTTACGCAAGCTCTGCCTCTCGGGTTCACGCCATTCTCCTGCCTCAGCCTCCCGAGTAGCTGGGACTACAGGCGCCCGCCACAGCGCCCGGCTAATTTTTTGTATTTTTAGTAAAGACGGGGTTTCATCGTGTTAGCCAGGATGGTCTGGATCTCCTGACCTCGTGATCCGCCCGCCTCAGCCTCCCAAAGTGCTGGGATTACAGGCGTGAGCCACCACGCCCGGCACAGCTTTTTTCGTTTTTACAAAGAGCACTACAATGACCAACCATGTATGTACATTTTTGCACACTCATATGAGACAAAGCAAATGCAGATATTTAAACATTTTTATTGCCAAGCAGCCTTCCAGAAAAGATACCCCAATTGCAATTCATCCCAGCAGCCCCGTATGAAAGTACCTACCACCTTTTAAAGAATTACAATAATTTTGATATAAAAGGAAGATAAATTCAGGGATATGCCTGCTGTTAAATTCAAAATTCTTATGCTTACAGAACAGGACAGGGGACAACTGCTAAGGGAGAAAGGCAGCTCCCAACAGAAAGGGAGCTGACGGGACAGCACCAAGGAGCTGGGCCTGGGTCAACCCTGTGGCAGCAAGCACTTCAGTCCTCTGCCCAAGGCTGTGCATTTTAAGTTTGGAAGAATAGAAACAGACCTCTGAACAGGAGTTATTTTGCTGGTGTGATTATAGGAGTATTTGTTTTCTTCCTGATTTTTATTTGTGTTTCCTAAATGTTCTATGTATTTTTAAGTCAACAAGCATTTGTTGAGAATCTATAATGTACTCAAGAAGAGGCCAGGAGGTACTGACATGAGATTTTCAAGAAAACTAGTATTTTTTCTTTTCTTCTTTCTGTCTTCTTTTCTTTTTCTTTTTTCTTTCTCTCTCCCTTTCTTCTTTCTTTCTCTTTTTCTCTTCTTTCTTTCATCTTTTCTGTCTCTCCTCTTTCTTTTTCTTTCTCTCTCTCTCACTCCTTCTTTCTTTCTCACATGGAACTTGTCTGTGTAATAAGAATTATTGAATCCATTCCTAACAGATCTTTGCCACATCATCAGTAGCCCCCGGGGTGGCTGAGATCCTGGCATCCATGAGGCGTCTTAGGTGCTCGGATGGTCTGGCAGTGGCATCCCTCACTACAGGTTTGCCTGACAGAGAAAAGGTGCACACTCTTCAGTGTAGTCTGTCCTGCTGCCAGGGAGGCCAGGGCTTGGGCAGGACAAAGAGAGAGTCCTTAGTCCTAGTTCAGAGGCCCTTAGGGCCTGGTCTTTAAGTCCTCCAGATATCCAGGCTTGGTGCCTCCCCAGCTGTGCTGACCTGCCAGTGTGGGGCCTCCTGTGAGAGATGGGGCTGCATCTTGGCCTAGCATGGAGATGGCAGCCTTTCTGGACAAATGTCTCCCACAGTGTCAAGCAAGTCTCTGCAGACCCTGCCAAGTCTTGGCCATAGGATGAGGGAAGAAGACCGCAGAGGAGTATATGGTAGAGAAACCCAAAAGCACATCCAGTGGTCCTGGGGTGAGGGAAGTGGTGGTGACCCCAGATGGGTACTGAGGGAGGGAAACCTTAGGTCAGGGCGGAGGAGACTTCTGGAGTTCACAAGAAGCACAGGACAGGGTGAGCTCATGGCCCAAAGAGGCAGTGTGTAGTGAGATCAATCTGCTGGGTGCCAGGGGTAGACTAAGAGCAGCAAATGGAAGTTACAGTGTGCTGGAGTCTGTGGGTGAGGCCACAGTGGTCAATATGCTAAACCTAAGTTACAGCAGAGAGAAAGTGTAGCTCAGGAGTAGAGTATTTGACTCAGATCAAGAGGTCCCTGGCTCAAATCCAGCTGTCCCCTAGCTCTGATGCTTTTATCCCCTGAGCCAGCTGTTGTTCTGAAAACTTAGGAGGAAGGCAACGGGCGCTGCCACCCAGCCCTCTGGTGCTGACTCAGTCCCTCTCTTGTGGCTTGAGGTGGATGTTTGTATTATTATATGACTTTAGGAACCCAAAATAATGTGAGTCTTGGGGGAAAGCATAGCTCTGCAACATGCTACATCAAATAGGTGTGCCAAATACTCCCGCTTCGACCTCGGGTGGTAAGGACCTGCTCAGATGTTGAATGTGGACTGGACGATGTGCAGAGCAAGGCTGATAAGCTGCATCCCAAGATGGCAGAGCTCTGGTCTAGCAACAGGGCTAGCAGCTGCATCCAGCATCCGGCAGGGCTGCAGTGACCCCTGGCCAGCACACTCTCTGCTGTGACCTTGCCGTGATTCTAGGTTCACACCTTCCCATCAGTGCTGTGAGCTCCTGGTGCTGTCAGCGATGGTTTCATCTGTTTCCATTAGACAAAGTCAGGTTCTAGTTTTGTGCCTGTGTCTGTGCCTAGAACAGAAATTGGTACCAGGTGTGATTTGCAAGCAAGAGATCCTCAGAGAAATGGGTATGTGGGAGGACACTGGAGTTGCCAGATCTAGTTGTACTGAAGTCAATAAAAATCCAGCTGGTTCTTCCTGGATGGGAATCCAGCAGACCAGGGCTCACAACAGCGGAAGAGCTACATACACTGGTGCCTGTGATTGGCTGCAATGGAGCCCATTGAGGGCAAGAGATCCAGCTGCCATAAAACAGGAGAAGCTACAGGTAGGGAGCCGATTCTAATGCATGGAGAACTACTAGGCTAGAGCAAAGGCCCAGCTTCTCCATGCAACGCGCAGAAGGGTTCCTAGAGCTTCCAGCATTATGCTGAGAGAATCTTTTCTAAGGCTCCCGTGTGTCATAGCAGAAAACCAGAGGCAAAATTGGATCTTGCAGTTGCTGCATTCAGTTAAATGCACAGCCTCCCTGGGCTCTCATGTGAAGGCTGGGGCATTTTTCAGGAAAGAACACCAATCCAAGAACTGTAGAGAGAATTTACGAGAAGATGTGGAGAATTCACAACAAACATCCAAACAAACTCTAAACTCTGCCAAATCTCCATGACAGCAAAAGCAGCCTCCTCTCCCAGCTGATGAAGTGTCTCATAGAACTCCCAGTAGCCCTGGCCGCTGCCCACCAAGTGCCAAAGCTGCCCACTCACTGTAGTAACAGAAAATATCTAGGGGCTTTCCCACCAATCGGGACCCCTGTGCCACAAGTCTGGAATCTACGTGGCCTTTGACTACAGCAAGGGACAGCACCACGTGTCCCTGTGGATGTGTCTTGCCAGGGAAGGTGCCCGGTTTGCCTGTGTTCTCACGTGCCTGGGGCCGTGGCTCAGCCACTGGAGGGAGGGATTCCTCATCCCAGTTCAGAAGCCCCTTTGGGCCTGGGCTTTGGACCCCCAGACAGACAGGCTTACGCCCAATCCCTATCCCTCATATGTGCTGACCTGCTGAGTGACACCTTCTGAGACAACTGGGCTGCTCACCAGGAGGGCAGCTTCCACCTCCCCTAGGGTCAGCCCTGCAGTCCAAGGCCTTGAATTTGGCCTTGGGATAAAAGAGGAGGAAAAGGTAGAAAATAGAAAAAAAGGGCCAGGGGGGTGGCTCGCGTCTGTAATCCCAGCACTTTGGGAGGCCGAGGCGGGCGGATCACCTGAGGTCAGGAGTTTGAGACCAGCCCGGCCAACATGGCAAAACCCCGTCTCTACTAAAAATACAAAAATTAGCCGGGCGTGGTGGCGCATGCCTGTAATCTCAGCTACCTGGGAGGCTAAGGCAGGAGAATAGCTTGAGCCCAGGAGGTGGAGGTTGCAGTGAACAGAGATCGTGCCATTGCACTCCATCCTGGGCTACAGAATGAGCTCCATCAAAAAAAAAAAGAAAAAAAAAAAAGAAAAGAAGCAAAATCCAGCCATTGTCTAAAGGGTGAGGGTGAGGGTGGGGTGGATGGGGTTGATTTTAGAATAAATGTCCATGAGGAAGAGGCAAAGGAAGGAGAGATGTAGTGGATGATCATTCCAGCAAGAAGTGATGTCAAAGCTTACGCACTCAGCTTGAGACAGAAGGAGGAGAATGGACCACACAGTACAAAGGAGGCTCTGGGACTCAAATGAGGGGTCAGTGGGAGAGGGATAGAGCCAATGGCCAGAGAGGGTTGGTTGGTATGAGATAGGTCTGCTAGGACATGGGACCTGACCTGGAGTAAACAGAAACTATTGTGGGTTTCAGGAGGATCCCTCCCTTGGGCAGGCGACATCCTTAAGCAGTGTCCATTGGGAACTCATCTGAAGTGGGTTTCTAGCTCAGAGGAAGAGCATTTGCCTGCAGGTCAAGAGGTCCATGGTGCAAATTTAGTGCCTCTTAGTGCTAGACTTTCAACTGGAAGTCAGTTGGGTGATTTCCGGGGACCGGGGTGGGCGGGGGAGGGGGTGCAGGCGGGCATCTCGTTGGGCCTGTTGAGGGCTCAGCAGATGGGGAGTAGGAGCAGAGGGGGCAGCAGGCCTGGTCATATCTTGCCCAGGGTTGAGTTAATAGAGAGAGCCCGAGAGGAGCATGTGATCCAGGACCCACTTTGGTGATTAAAAGTGAAACAGGGTAGGGGGCACCTGGATTTGAACCAGGGACCTCTTGATCTGCAGTCAAATGCTCTACCCCTGAGCTATACCCCCAGGCCCAGGGAGAGGGTGTAATTAACACCCTTTTCATGTGTCGACACACCAAGAACACGACTCAGCTCTGCAGGTTGGGATGTCCAGGCCAGTTCTGTCTCTCTGAATTCTGGCCTCCCTCCTGTCACTAACACTTCTTTTCCCATCGCTTCTGTGTGGACCTGGCTGAGGACACCCTGGTGGCCTTGTTGACCTTTATGACTGGAAAGACCCTTCAAGTCATCCAGATAATCCTCTTTGACAGTAGCAGTTGTTGAGCATCATGTGAGGTGTGCTAGACTGGGGACAGAACTCTAACTGGGTGACACCACCTTCCCATGCACTGCAAGGAGGCCCAGTGCCTGTGTCTGGGACTTGTATTTGACATACAATACTGTTCATGATAATTTTCCAAGTGATAAGCAAATTGCTTTTGTAAAAGAAAGTTACTTAAATAATAATACTCAGTATTACAAAACCATGGCACATATATACCATAGAATACTGTGTGGCCATAAAAAAAGAATGATAATAGACCAATAGTTAATGGTAACCCCCTGGGAGCAGGTGAAGAAACCAGGGAGCGGGTGGGGGAATCTTCTCTTTTCCGATTTACATGTGATAACTCAATGTCCATGTTTCCAGCCTTCCAGGTACTGAGCCTTCTGGGTGGTTAAAAATAAAAGAGAGAAATTGATAAAATATTCCCCAGGAAGTCTTCTCTGCCTCCTGCAGCTGGCATTGTCCTAATTCCTCCTCCTTCTTCAGATCCTCCCAGGCTTTCTCTCATCCAGTTCCTCTGCCCCGTTCCTTCCAGGCAGCTCTCATCCCTCCCAGTGTTCAGCCCCTCCCCTCTGATGCTGTCACTCTTTTTTCACACAGCAGTTGTCCACTGTCCACCCGGCTGGAACATCACCATGGGGGTGGTGAGTCTGAGGGCAAAAGGCACCCACAATGGGCCGGGGCATCCCTGCTGCCTGTGTCCTGTGCCCAGCACCCAGGCCCTGACCCCCTGTCCCTCAGCCACACTTGAGTTGAGTCCCACAGCACCCCCTTCCACACGTGCCTTCTCCACCCTGACCTACTGCCTCCCCAGAGGCCTCTCGGATGGTGAGGACCTAGTATAGTCAGGTAGTACCATGCCCAAGGAGGTGTATAAACTGTGCAGGAATCAGTAAAAATAAAAATGCCAATGCTGCCCTCCCGAGTCAGCTGGGGCTTACAATCAGGTCAAAATGATGGTGTCAGCATTATTAAAGGCAGAGAAAGGTCTTTCTAGTCATACCTCGAGGAAGACGATCAAGGAAGGGACAAGTCCCCTGCTCAGTGATAAAACCACATATACAGCAAGAGAAATAGACAAGTCGTCTTCCCTGTATGAGAGAGATGGCTGAGTTGGGGTGGGGGCAGCAGGGCAGTTGCTAGGAAGCCCTCCTGAAGAGCAAGAAAGAGAGCAACTAATGCAGCTCTTGTACGAATCCAATGGCCCCTGCATGAAGAAGGAGGAATCTGAAGCCCTCTCTGCCTGAAATGGTCCTACGACCCCAAGTACCAGGCGAGCTCCTGTCTTCTCAGTCTGGATCTCACTGTGGTGGCCCTAAAAAGAGTCAGTGACTGTCCTTAGGAGATGGCTTCCTGCATTGAGTGTGCCTGTGGAAGTAGCCAGCTGGTGTGCAGCTCATGCTGGAGCGAACATCAACAAGGAATCAACTGCACACTGTGGCCACCCTACCCCAGAGTCCCCTCTTCCTCCTACATTAGAATTCCCCTCGGAAACTGCCCTAAGCTTCCAATAGGGAAATTACATAAATTACTCAGACCAATGTGCTAACTGTAAGGAGACTAGAAGGTTAGCAATAGTTGGAGTCCTTGTACCAGCATACAGACAATTTTACATGGCATGGGAACTCCAGGCATGACTGACCTTGCCAGGGGGTGGCTCTTCACAAAACCAGAGGTAGTAAGAGACCTAAGAGCCCAAGGAAGTAAAAGTATAGATGAAAAGAAGTCAGTTGGGCAAATTTTCCTCTCAAATTTCCCTGCCCCACCTTCCGGAAACTATGCAATATTGCCCTCAGCAAGGAAGAAGAGAGCAGATGGGCAAGCCTCTTTTGTGATGGCAAATTCCATCTTCATAAAAGAGAACTTGTCTCCTCTGGTGGGCATGATGTGGTGAAGACTGGCTCCAGGTGTCCCAATGTGGACTCTCAGGGGGTCCTAAAAGGGGCTGGGAGAGTGAAACACACACAAGGCACAGACAGAGGCAGCCCAAGGAGACCACAGGGATCAGTGAGAGTTTCCTGGGGCGGGAGTCACTACCTGCCTCATCTCACTGTGCAGAAGCCTTAGCTGGGCAAAGGAGGTGAACTCCAGCACCAGCTTCTATGGCTAAAATGGACAGTAGGTGCCCTGGAAAAAGCCAGCAGGATGGCCACACTACCCAAGAGAGAGAATTTTTCACATCAGCCCCAATGGTATACACACTACTTATGCATAATAACTACCACAAATATTTCACCTTACCAGTACGCCATGAATGAAACATCACTTCCTCAAGGAAAGTGTCCTTACCTCCTGCAATCGCTTTGATATCCCAGTAATAGTCTTATAATATCCCTGCATCTTACCATCTAGTATTTCTCATATTTTCCATTTTTAACTTCTGTGAACATTTGTACATCTTGATCTATTCCTCTAGTTTCAAGAGCCCATGTCTGTTTCAGTCACCATTGGGATAGGTTGTGTACGGACATGGGCTTCCACTCTGGATTAGATGGGAGTGATTGGAGGATTTCTTGCAGAGGAATAACATAAGCTGATTTCGTCCTCTGGCTGGCCTGAGGGCACTAGAGGACATGTATGGAAGCCGGGACACAAGTTCAGGAAGTTGTCACCATAACCTGGATGAGAGATGATTTCAGCTTTGTCTGATGGTGGAGGCAATGAGAAGTGGTCAGATTTTGGATATATTTTGAAGCAGTGTGAACAGGATTTGCTGATGATTTGAGAGCAGGGTGTGAGAGAAAGGGAAAAGTCAAGGATAATGCCAAGGTTTTCTGTCCTGAGCACCCGGCGGGATGGGGGGGCCATTCTCTGAGATGGCCATTTTCATTGCAGCAGAAATGAAATTTGAGGGGGTGGTGGAAGTCAGGAGTTCAATCTGTGATGTATTAAATTGAATCCATCTGTTAAATGGTCTAATGGAGATGTCAAAAATGAAGCTGGAGTTCGAAGGGGAGGTGTTGGCTAAAGATATAAATTTGAGGGTCATCATCCCATTAAAGCCGCAGGATGGAATGAGAGCACTGAGGAAGTGGGAGTGAAAAGAAAAGTGGTCTAGGAACTAAGACCTGGGCCCTCGAATGTTTAAAAATGGGGATGTTAAGGAGAAACCAGCAAAAGAGATTGAGGAAAAGTGGCAGAGAAGTACAAAGAAAACAACAGAAAAAGAGTGACAGCCCCAATGTCGATTGAAAAAAAAATGCTACTGAGGGCTTGAATTAAAGATGAGAATCACCCATGACACATGGTCACCAAGGACTGTGACAAGCACAGTCTCAGTGAAGTGGAGCACTTGGGTGGGTGTTCTCCTGGGAAGCCCTCCTGACCCTCCTGATGGGTGGGACCCCTGCCACATGCTCCATGGCTCCTGTATGTCTATCAAAGCACACACAGTTCACCATAATTGCTGCAAAGATGTGCCTGTAGGGTTCCCTGTATATCATGAATGGCCAGTACATATATGAATATGCTCAAATGTGTCAATAAAAAAGAGAGGATATATTAATGGAAGGAGATCCCAGGGAAAGCCAAAGGGTGGATAAAGAACACAGGATGTGCTCTAGAGAGGAGCAGGCAGGCTTTTCCTCTTAGCCTGGAGGGGATGAGGAGAAGGTGAAGATGCAGAGCAGAGGATGCTGGGGGGCCTCCATGGCCTTGGTCTTCTCAGTCAGATAGAAAACAAAGTCTTCCAAAGAGAATAAAGGAGGTAGGGTGGGAATCATTACTTGGGAAGAAGGGCAAAGTGTGAATCAGGCACTGTGGGAAATGGAGAAGAAGTGAATTAGAAAGGAATAGAATCATTGCTCATTAGAGAGAGGCACTGGTTGAGGTCAAACTGGTGTAGATTTGCAGTGGGACCATTTGCCTGGCTCTACAATTTACTCCATCAAAGACTGGCTTCCCCAGAGCAAAGGTGGGAAAGGCCAAAGGCGTGTGTATCCGCGGAAGCAGAAGGGCTCATGAGAGAGGTAGATAGACCACAGACCAAGCTCTCAAAGGAGCTGGAATCATGACTGAGAGGCCAAACATGGGATCAATAATGGGCAGGCAGATAGCTGAGCCCCAAGGTGGCCCTGCGGTCATGGGAACAGAGAGAGGTAGACAAGATTAAGGTCAAAATGAGGATAATGAAACATTTTTGGTAACAGTAAGAACATGTAAACATCAGAAAACGTGTCATAAAAGGACTTTTCTGATTCTAAGATCTTGAAAGGGAATAGTTTAAGTGATGATCAGGTTTGGCTATGAATGCTGAACACCCAAAATAACAAAGGATGGAAGCAAAACAAAAACAAGCAAACAAACCAGAAGCTTCCTTTTCTCCCACATAAAAGTCCACAGCTAGGTGGTCCAGGCATGGCTTTCCATAGGGTCAAGAACCCGATTTCTTCTTTGTGGCTGTCTGGCTGGCTTGGCTTTCATTCCAGCATGCCATCACCCACATTAGCATCTCATCGACCTCCCAGCCAGTAGGAAGGAGGAAAGACAAGCCTCTCCATATAAGAACACCCATCACTTTCACCTGCATCTCATTGACCAGCCTTATGCCTATGGCCTCACAGCTCCAAGGGGGTCTGGGAAATGCAGTTTTTCTTCTGGGAAGCCATGTGCTCAGCTGATAACCAAAAGGCAGGGTAGAAGACACTGGTGGAAAACTCTGAATCTCTGCCTCACCACACACCTTGAAGGCCGCAGTGAACGGAGTTTGTGAACATTCCTAGAGCCAGGAAGATGGAAATCTTGGGAGGCCTTAGCATTGGAAGCACATTACCTTGGAGTTTGACATTCCCGAGAATGAAAGCAGGAGGAGGTGAGGAAAATACGATTGTTAGCCTAGTTCTAAAAATTTCCACTAGGTTTGTGGAGAAGACATGAATGTGGAGAGGAGAGCGTGGTGAAAGGAGATGGCTTTGAGAGAGAAGCAGGGAGGGATGGTGGAGGAGCTGGGGTTTGGGGGCAACATGGAGAATGAGGCTGAGAAGGTGACCCCACCCTCTCAGTTCTGGAGGTTGAAGGGGAGGGATGGCTTCACGGGAAAGCTGGCCTTCAGATGTACAAGGAGGGATAAAAAGGCAGACTCCCAGGGCAAGGTTAAGGAGGAAGGAGACTGTTTATAGAGTAGCTGGAGGGCTGGCGGGCTTGGGTGGAGGAGCTAAAACAGTAATGGGGATACAGGAAGGAGGCTGCCCCAAGAGACCATTTTCACTATCAGAAGGCATTGGAGGGCAGGGACGGGAAAGGGGCAAGTACCCAAGTTCTAGGCCAAAGCTCTAAGTGTGAAACTGGAACAGCAAAAGCCACTTCTTAAAAAATGTAAGCTTTTGTGAGTACAAAGTGGTATATATATTTACGGGGCACATGAGCTGTTTTGGAAGAGGCATGCGATGCGAAATAAGCTCATCATGGGGATTGGGGTGTCCATCCCCTCTAGCATTTCTTGTTTGAGTTACCAATGCCACTTTTTGGAGGAAAAAAAAAGTACTAAATAAAAAATTCGAATATTTTGTTAACAAAAGGAATCTGCTTTAAGGAAAAGAAAATTATAAAGCACGTCACCAAAGATAAAAGAAGTTCTGTTATTCAGGCTCCTACATCTTATACTAAAAAGAAAGGTCACAGGATACAGAATATTTTCAACTCAGGGGAGTAGAGCAAAGCACCATTTGCTAAATGGTCAAATTAGGCAGAGCCTCAAGTGACACTACACTTGACCAGGCTCTGTCTTCAATGCCTGCTTCTCTGTTGTGTTTTCCTGCCATTCAGTGTAAAGATAGTAAGACTTTCTTGCTGTCACATAGTTTTATTACAAGAACCTCTTTTTAACCTATCTAAAGTAGAAACTTCTGTTGTTCATATAAATCAGAAGAATTAATAAACATATTTTAGGTAGTTCTGAAAAAGATTCATAAAAGGTGATTAGTGTAAGGGATACTAAAAATCATGAATTGTGCTTCTGAATTCTATGCTGTATAGCTGAACCTCCATGAATTTTGACATTTTGTACCAAAAAAGCTGTTTGTTCTCCAAAGCATAGAATGCCATCACATCCTTTAGCTTTTGAGATGGTTGATATAATTCAATAATCCCTTCTGCAGAAGTTTGCTTTTAAAGCTTAAATATGACATAAAATTGCTTTTGATAGTTACAAAACTTAAACACAACATGGAACTTTACTTATATTTTAACCTGTTGACATTTCATCCTCTGCAGACTCTCTTGGCCTTATATGGGCTCACTCACTGAGCTATAAATCCTCGTGGTTTGTTTGGAATTAGAAGACCAATACCACCCCATCCCAGGGGGAATGCCTGGATGAAAAAGGGGACAAATTAAGACAACTAGGAAATGCTGAAACAGCCTTTGTTCCTGGAAGATGCTGTTCTGGTCCAGTTTTTGTTTGTTTGTTTTTTTTCTCTCCAAGACGGAGTCACGCTCTGTTGCCCAGGCTGGAGTGCAATGGCGCAATCTTGGTTCACTGCAACCTCCACCTCACTGCAACCTCTGCCTCCCAGATTCAAGAGATGCTCCTGCTCAGCCTCCACGGTACCTGGCATTACAGGCACGTGCCACCACGCCCGGCTAATTTTTGTATTCTTAGTAGAGATGGGGTTTCACCATGTTGTCCAGGCTGGTCTCGAACTCTTGACCTCGTGATCCGCCCACCTTGGCTTCCCAAAGTGCTGGGATTACAGGTGTGAGCCAACGCACCCAGCCCCAGGTCCAGTTTCAAGTACTGTACACTTAAATGTGAAAGGAAAATAAATCTTGGGGCCCCCAAATCACTAACCTGAAGGGAAAAGTCAAGCTGGGAACTGCTTAGGGCAAAGCTGCCTCCCATTTTATTCAAAGTCACCCCTCTGCTCACTGAGATAAGTGCATATCTGATTGCCTCCTTTGGAGAGGCTCATCAGAAACTCAAAAGAATGCAACCATTTGTCTCTTATATACCTGTGACCTGGAAGCCCCCTCCTTGCTTTCAGTTGTCCTGCCTTCACCTCAAGTTGTCCCACATTTCCAGAACTAACCAATGTACATCTTACACATATTGACTGATGTCTCATGTCTCCCTAAAATGTATAAAACCACCACATTCTACCCTCACCATTTGCTGGTTCCAGAAAAAATGAAATCTTTACCCTAGTGTCTAATAGAAAAGAAGTTAAAATGTAGGCACCTATTTAAAATGTCAAAATTGAAAAGCCAGAGGGGTTATCTGTATTTGAACTGGTGTCCTGTTGGATCTGCAGTCCAATACTCTACCCCTGAGCTATACTGTGTCCTGCTATTGTGTGGGTTAGTTAATATCTTTGACTTTTATAGCCATACCCAGATTACCAGGAACCTATGAGTTGCCACTTCAAAATAGAAGCTCATAGGAGCTGCCAGACCCGCCTGAGTGAGAACTCATTGACCTTGTGCATAACAAGAGGCAGTGTCTCCTCCTCAGGTACCCCGGATCCTGTGTCTTCCCTGCCGTGAGTCCCTGGGTTGGGGCAGCAGCCTGGAAAAGCACTGCTAGAATGACCTTCAGAGTCAACCTCTAGTGCCTGTCACGGTGGGCACCTACAAAAGAAACTCCATGTGACTGAGGTGTCTTTTCTAACACACTTAATGACAGAGTTGCGTCTGGCTCTCCTGGCCCAGTATTCCATTCAGGGCACTTTCAACACAACTGCAATCTACGACAAAAGATGATTCTTCCAGCTCTACTTCTTCAGTTAATATACATGGAGAATGATGGAGAAGAAGCAACTCCAAGAAATAGTGAGAAGGTGGTAGCTGAGTAGATTTTGGAATCCCCAAAAGCCTTAAAAGGACCAATGTTAACCTAGTTTCAAGGACCAAAAAATGTTGCAGGAGAACAACCCCACTTGACTCTTTCATTGTTTTTTAAGCGGCAGGGTATTCTACTGTTACCCAGGCTGGAGTGCAGTGAAACAATTATAGCTCACTGCAGCCTCCAACTCTTGGGCTCAAGCAAGCCTCCCGCCTCAGCCTCTCAACTAACTGGGACCACAGGTGTGTGCCACCATACCCAGTTAATACTTTTTATTTTTATTTTTTTGTAGAGCAGACGTCTCACTATGTTGCCCAGGCTGGTCTGAAACTCGGGGCCTCAAGCGATCCTCCTGCCTTGGCCTCCCAAAGCTCTGGGATGAGCCACTGCGTCCAGCCTCCCACGTGACCTTTCCGATGGCAAGCAGAGCCCTGTCCCTCTTAGAAGGAACACGTGGAGTAACACTTGGGTAAGCTCGTTTTCACCTCCTCAGCTGTGCCAAGGCCCCGCCTCTTCTCTTGTCACAGGAGCTGGTAAACTGTCCCTTCCTGTGAACTGTCTTTTCCTTCTACTGGAATTTTCTCCTTTACCCACAGGCCTTTTGCCTTGTAGCCCTGGCAGCCTTCTCAGAAGGCAGCAAAGCCAGCCACTCCTCTCCACTTCTGGTCCGAGGACCTGGGAAACACTGAATTCCACAGTGATTTCTATGATGTTAAATTCCTTCAAGGGACACACAGATGGTCACTTAAGTCCAGACCGCACTTTGCCCCACTGCTCACATCCTCCAGCACACACCATGGGACACACCATGAAAGCACTAGTTCCCCTAGGGGCCATATTGCCATGGAGATGACACCTCTGTCTCCTCAAACAGGAATAAGGCCCTTTTCCAAGGTAATCCGGGAGTAGCTCTTCCAGGCAACATGGCAGGGACTTGCCAACACATTGTTGTCTTGATAATAGAGGTAAATTATCATGCAGGGTGACCCGCAAAAAGGCCACAGTGAGAGAGGAAGCGGTGGTCTTCTACTGGGTCCCGTATCAAGTGGTGAAAGGAAGGCTGGACTCAGGGACATTTGCAGAATGATCTACTCCAATCTCCTCACTTTACATGTGAGGCAAGGGCTGACTGACTTGCCCAAGGGTCTCGACTGGTTAATGACAGAACTGACAGGTCTCCTGATTCCCAGTTCCCCCTACAATCTCCGTGGTGCACATGTCCCAGCCTAGACAAGGCTGGCTTTTTTTTTTTTTTAATCCAGGACATTACAGTGAAGCTAAGGAAGCTTCAGAGTGCCTTTCCTGCACCAGCTCTGTGCCTCCTTCTAAATTTGTAATTTTATGAGGCTTTTACTTAATAATGTTCTTCCTGATTACACAAGCTGCAGACCCATAAAACACGAGTCCACCCCTAGGAGAGGAGATGTGTTACTTGAGAGGGGAAGGAATCACGTGGAAGAGCTGAAGGGAAAAAAAAAAAAAAACAGGAAAAACCTGGGGCAGGTCCAGGGACATTCTCCTACAGCTCACGGGGTGAGTAGGGTGATTTTACCCTTTGTCGGATTTACTCCAAAAGACAAAATGATGCCAAAGGCTCCAGGCAGGAAATCTCTAAACCCCCTCATTTGAGGGACAATCGCCCAGAGATGAGAGGCATCAGAGAATAGCTAGGTTGTGCCTGCGACCCAAAGAAGCAAGTCGGACGCAGGAGCATCGGCAACACTATGAGTAAGGTCTTCGCCCACACGACTCCTGGGGCAATTCCATTTTTATACACTGAACGTACAGCCCACGCTGATGAAGAGAAACTAGGGGAGAATGTTCAGATCCCGGTCCCTAGGCCTGGCAAGCCCCATAGACCCCACATCACATGTCGCAGGTTCCCCAGCTGGAAAGAGCCCCACTCAGCCCAGGAATCTGAAAGGCAATGCGCCTCTGTAACCACGTGGGGGCCCCCGTCCAAGGCGCCCTCCATCCTCAGCCTCTTAAGGACTTTTAAATGTTTATTTTTCTCTCGTTTAAAAATACTATCCTTGTTATTGAAAAATAAAAACATGAATTGGGAAAATAAAATGCGTAAAAACGGCCTGTGCTCTATTAAAGAAAACTACTTAGTCTATGTTGACATTTGTATGCTTCCAAACTTTCAAAACTATAGATACACATATACACGGTATATAATACTACATATGATGTCATATATTGTTTTAAAGTGTTAATTTTAAAACAAAGACAGGATCGTTCTGGACAGGCTTTTTCTCTTAAAATATCATGAACATCTGTCCATACCAATTTCTTCCCCAAAATAATGTTCAATGATGGTATTGCGTTCCATTGCTCATGCCATTAAAAAATATTTACTGTAATAAACACATGGTAGAAAATGCTAAGTAGCATCTACCGGTATATTCCTATTGTTCGAAGTATTTATTCCACTTCAAACACAGATGGGGATGAGTTACAGCTGCCCCCCGAAAACAGCCCAAACCTCCAGGCCCAGGACCTCGGGCGGCAGAAGTGCCTGTTCGGCCGCGCCGGGGCCCAGCTGGGCGAGGGGGCCACACTGCCCGCGGTCACCGGGGAGGGCCCTGCCTGGAAGCCCCTGCTTGCCCGCGGGCGCGGCCAGGCGGGTCTTATGAGGGGGACTCTTTCGGTAACCGAGTCCCTCGGCCTGGGTCGCGGGGCCAGCGCAGTGACTGCGCGCGCACACGCGGCAGTCGGGGAAGGGGCGAGGGGTCGGCCAGGGGTCGCGGGGTCAGCTCCCGGGCGCGGGCCAGGCGGGGTCGCGCCTGCAGTTCGCCTCCGGAGCTGCAGGTGGGGCTGTGCGGCTGCCTGCCTCCAGGAAGCCTCATGTGCCTTCGTCGGCCGCGCCGGCTCCCAGGATACAGTGCGGACCGGCCGGGCGCTAAAGGCGTTGACGCAACTGCGGGCGGCGCAGGGCAGGGGCAGTCAGGGAGCAGCGGCGGCAGAGACAGGGCTGGGCGGGCGCCGCCTGCGGAGAGCACCGGGAGGCGGGCCCTGCGTGGGGCCGCGCGCAGCAGCGGCGACGACTTTATCTGGGCCGCGGGGGACAGCGCAGGGCCATGGAGGAGGCGGCCGCAGCTCCGGTAAGGGCGACCAGCGCGCGCACGAACTCGCGGCCTGGATTCCCCGGGCGACCCGGGCCCGGCACACGGGGGCTGCGGGAGCCGAGCCGTACTACCGCGCCTGGGGCTCCGGGGAACAGGGCCGCGGCGTCTGCCGGGGCCTACTGCGCTTGCCAGCCGGGCCCCCCACTCCGGGCCGAGCCCGAGCGCTGGCGGAACGGTTGTCCCCGCCCCGGGCCGCCCCACGCCAAGATCCTTGGCCCCTCCGGGGCTTCCTGCCCCCGCCCCAGCCGCTGAACCCTACATCTGCGTCCCCCCACCCGAGGCTCTTTTCTCTGCTTGGCGCTCGGCCTGTGGGTCCCTCCCCCAGCTCCCCCCAGCGGCTTAGTGGTACCTGGGAGTTGTGAGGCTTCGAATCCGCGTATACCGACACCCCTTACGTGCCCAGCTCCCCAGGGTCGGCGCGGAAGGGAATATAGAGCCAGGTACTGCACCAAGTCCTGTTGAGGCCTTAGTCTGTCCTTCTGTCCTCACAGCAAGCCTGTGGGATGGGTACTGGTGTTATCTCTGTCATGCAAAAGAAAAACCTGGGGCTTAGAGAAGTTAACTTGCCCAGGCTTGCACACCTGGAAGTGTGAAAAGACACACAGTGGCTGTGTGTTCAAGGACCAGGCAGGCAGGTACGCGGGCAATAATTGTGCAAAATAGGAAGGGGTGAGTGTTGGCGCCCAGGTGGAAGCTTGCGGTGGGCTCCGGGGGAAGGAGTGTCAGGGGGCCTCTTGGTACCGCTGTCCACCCCTCCTGGCCTGATGCTCTGCGCCTCTGTGATTTGAGCCGGGCTTTTAGGGACGGCTAGGATTTCAGGCCCAGCTAGACCGGTGGTGCTTTCAGGGAGGGAGGAGTGCCTGGGCAAAGGCGCAGAGAGACGGGACAGTGCAGGGCGTGTGCAGGCACAGAAAGGAGTCCATGAGCCTGGAGAAGATGGTTTTGGTTTGGAGGCAGTGGGAAAGGAGTCTGCAGAGAGAGACTAGGAAGGGGCTTGCATGCCAGGACTTCATCCTGCGGGTGGGCGGCCAGTGAGGGATCGGGCTCCTCTTACCATCAGCTCCTCTCAAGCAAAGAGTTTCGGCTTCCTGGCAGGAGTCCAAGGACAGCCCCACATATTCCAGCCACTTGTCAGTAAGAAGCTGGGCTGGAGTGAGCAGCGCACAGTCGACACCTCCCACCACATAGTGTGAAGGCCTTACACAGGGTTTCCTGGCCCCATCAGAATTGTGAGAAAACCATGTACTTTATTATCCATGAGTAAAAGACTAATATTTTCTTAATAAAGTAGTTTATGCAGAGGTCCCTTTCATGCCACACAAAGACTGTAATAATGCACGTGGAGGATGGGTAGGATTTCAGTGGATGGGGAGCTGGTGACCAGTTGAAAGGAAGCTTCTGGAGTAAACTCTTGGCGTTCGACTTCACGTGGCAGGGATTGATCTAAGAAAGGAGAGGTGAGGGAACAGTGGCCTTAGGTGGAGGGCAGACTCAAACCCAGAACCAAGCGGGCCCACCCAGGTACTTGTAGGACCACCTACTCCTTGAGAGCAAGACTCGCCATCCACATTGGGGTTTTCGCCTAGAAACAGTTCAGCTTGTCCAGAACCTCCCAGCCTTGAAGACCTTTTAGAGTCCTACCTTCTTTGGGTCCTGTTTCCCTCCAAACAGCCAGACAGGCCCTTGAGTACTGTCCTGGAGAAGTTTTTTTCTGCTTCTGCTCAAACTCTCCTTTTGTCTCTATTTTTTGAGGTATCTATTCACATTGTAGTTCTCAGTGACTTTCCCTGAGTGCATCCACACTGGTTTCTAGTAGCCACTTCTTCATTTTGCAAACAATCACCAACCTTTTGTTGAGGAATTATTTTGCAGAATGTTGTAAGGGGGCGTCGATCCTTGGGCATGGATACCAGGAGCTTCTCTCTGCCCTATAGGTCCCACATTCAGATGTGGGTGGCTCAAATAGTCCAGCTCCCCACCCAAGGCAAAATGTGCTCATTCTTCCTTGTCCCCAGCTGCCAGTCACTGATACACCATGTGAATGTTTCCAAGGACAGGGAAGCCCCTCATCTCGAATTAAGATGGTTTTTGCCCATATATAAGTGTAAGTTTGTGGCATATGTCCATTTTCCTCACCAGAGTGTATGTCACCACTCCTAGTACAGCTACAAAAATGATTGAAGCCATCATTTTTACCTTGAGGAGATGGGAATTGGGAAAGAGAAAGAATCTTGTAGGGCTCATGCAGTGTCAAAAAACTCTGGACTGATGGAGATTTGCAGTCATGGGGATTTTAGCTTGTGGGGAGGGGCAGATGGGAAGGGGACAAAATGAGACTGTCCTGGGGGAAGAGGAACTGGCCATTAGATTTTTATGTTTATTAAAAGGGGACATAAGATGCTTTAAAAAAAATGAGCAGTACTCTTGTTTGTGCGGTTTCAGTGAACGAGCTGTGGTTTTTTTTTTTTTTGGCTGGGTCATCATCAGTAGACAGTTCCTGTGTAATCATGAGGGGAGGTGCAGGCTGGGCTCTAGTAAATCTGCAGTTTACCATTTCCCCACTAAAATACCGAGCAATGCTAAGTCACACTATACGTAGCAAAACTGCACTGAGTGCCAGGCATGTGTCAAGGACCGTGGTGTGAAAAGGTGCAATACCATGTTCAGGGAGCCAACAGTGTAGGCGTGGGTAGGAAATTACTGTGTAGGGTGATAAGCACCGTGATAAGGGTCTGCATTGTGCTGCAGAGGCCTGGAGTAAAGGCACCCACCCAGACATAGACCTAACATACCCAAGCAGGTGATGGCCAACCTGAGATCTGGCATGTGGTATAGGATAGCCCCACTTGTCCACACATATGGACTCCCAGCCCAACTCCCCCGTGCCTAGGGAGAGAGGGGCTCAGTGAAGACAGTGGATGGAATGAATGATGCCAGTTTCTCTTTTGTTTCTGAAAGATTTCTCCGTGGACGATGGCAGCCACGATTCAGGCCATGGAGAGGAAGATTGAATCGCAGGCTGCTCACCTGCTTTCCCTAGAAGGTCAAACCGGGATGGCCGAGAAGAAGCTGGCTGATTGCGAGAAGACAGCCGTGGAGTTCGGGAACCAGCTGGAGGGCAAGTGGGCCGTGCTGGGGACCCTGCTGCAGGAGTACGGGCTGCTGCAGAGGCGGCTGGAGAACGTGGAGAACCTGCTGCACAACAGGAACTTCTGGATCCTGCGGCTGCCCCCGGGCAGCAAGGGGGAGTCCCCTAAGGTAGCCCTGGGGCGCCCTGGGGTTGGGGAGGCCGCGGGCCAAGCCTGTGAGCGTGTGGGTGAGCGAGTGTGACGCTTGTGGTTTCAGGTGCCTATGACATTTGATGATGTGGCTGTGTAGTTCTCTGAGCAAGTGTGGGGCAAGCTGGAGGACTGGCAGAAGGAGCTCTGCAAGCACGTGATGAGGGGCAACTGCGAGATGCTGGTCTCTTTGGGTAAGGCCTGACACTCATTATTGGATTTTGGAAGTCCGTGTACTTCTCTCTGCACGTGGTTGTTTTCATGACAGTGATATGTAAATCACCAGAAGCGTTGACCTTGAGAGTTGTTACCTCCTGTGAAAGATGAGCCCTGGGTGATGGAGTTAAAAGCTCCCTTCGCCCTGTGTGCAGGGCCCCAGAATACCAAGCTGGGAAAGGTGGTGGCTTGTCTCCTACACAGGTCCAGGGTATGGACCTTTCTATTGGTGCTTACTTGGAGCGGGGAGGACCCCTTCTGTTCTCAGATCCAGTAAGTAATTGACTCACATTTGAGAAAGACTCTTTCTAATTCGGCCTTCTTCTACAGATACGTGTGGCCCTTACGGCAACATGCTTTGAGGTCAGTGGAGAACATGGGCCAGCGGTGCTGCTTGCAGCTGACATTTTCTTCATGCCTCAAAACTTTACTTCCCTCATTTTCTTGGGCTACTGCTGCTCTCCTTGTTTGATCCTGCCCAGGAAGGGCCTGGACTCTGTTTCTTCCCGGGCTGATTTCCTCTTCCTGATGGTTTCTGTGTGATCCTGGAGCCAAGGGCAGTGAGACCTGTTAGAGAGGGCAGGAGCAGGTGCAGACGTGAGGTTGTTTCATCAGCACAAGTGCACTGCTGTTTAACGTGCACGCTCTGTGGCAGTTTCTTCATCCCGGCACTGTGGACATTTGGGACCAGGTGATTCTGTGTGTCGGCGGCATCCTCTGCATCGTAGGATGTTGAGCAGCAGCCCTGGCCTCTCAGGGCATCTCCAGATGCCAGTCACCTCTCCCCCAGCCCTGGGCATGACAACCAGAATTGTCTCCAGACTTTGCCAAATGTCCCCGGGGAGGAAAATTGCCTGTGGTTGAGAGCTACTGCTCTCAGGAGACAATCAGGAGATTTTGTTTCTAGACCATTGTTGGTTTTCAGGGCTGACTGTCCTCAGCTCTGACTGGAACGTGACAAAAACTAACCTTCTGTCTTTCCTCAGACTACGCCATCTCCAAGTCCGAGGTCCTCTCCCAGATTGAACAAGGGAAGGAGCCCTGCAACTGGCGCCGCCCTGACCCCAAGATTCCAGATGTTCCTGTGGACCCCAGTCCAGGTAAGGGCTGGGAGAAGGCCAGGGAGGCATCAGGTATTTTGTGGGAAACAGAGATGGAAAGGCCAGGAAGGGTGTGATCTTTCCAGAGAGAGTCGAGGAGAAACATGAAACTTACAGGTTTTATGTCTTGAATTTTTTATAGTTGAGTTTTAATCTCTAACTTAGTCAGCTAATGCTCCAGAAACGAACACTTTCTATCAGGGAAACAGGTGACAAACCTATTCTTTTAGGAAGAGACAAAGGCAGGGCACAGGTTGAGGGGAGGGAGAGGAGGACACTGAGAGGGAAGGCAGGAGCATAGTGGACCCTTGAACAACACAGGGGCCAGGGGCGCCAGCCCCCAGTCCCACGCAGCTGAAGATCTACGTCTAACTTTTGACTCTCCAGAAAGTTAACAGATAGTCTCCTATTGACCAGAAGCCTTGATACTATGAACAGGGAATAACACATATTTTGTATGCTCTATATGTTATGTATAGTATATTTACAGTAAGCTAGAGAAAAAATGTTATTGGGAAAATCATAAGGAAAAGAAAATATATTTACTACTCATTAAGTGGAAGTGGGTCATAAAGGTCATCATCCTCACTGTCATCTTCAGATTGAGTAGACTGAGGAGGAAGAGGAGGGGTTGGTCTTACTGTCTCAGGGGTGACAGAGGCAGAAGGAAATTCACTTATAAGTGGCCCTGCATAGTTCAAACCCATGTTGTTCAAGGGGCAGCTGTGTATTGAAAACAAAATTAATTCAAAGCTTTGCAAAGAGTCAGTCTTGCTTCCGAGAACCAGTGTCTATTTATTTATTCATTTATTTATTTTTGAGACGGAATCTTGCTCTGTCACCCAGGCTGGAGTGCAGTGGCACGATCTCAGCTCACTGGCAACCTCCGCCTCCTGGGTTCAAGCATTTCTCCTGCCTCAGCTTCCCGAGTAGCTGGGATTACGGGTACCTGCCATCGTGCCCAGCTAATTTTTGTATTTTTGTAGAGACAGGGTTTCACCCCCGATGTTAGCCAGGCAGGTCTTGAACTCCTGACCTTAGGCCATCTGCCCGCCTCGGCCACCCAAAGTGCTGGGATTGCAGATATGAGCCACCGCGTCCAAACTCAACCTTAATTTAAGCCAGTAGCAGTTGTAGAACATAAACCCATTGGTCAGCCTTATGGTTCAGTATGATTAGAGGCATACATTTATTTAAGGTGAATCTGGTTACCAGATATCAGTGTCTCAGATTTCCCTGGAGCCAGTCAGCACCTTTGAAAGTTAAGGGAAGGACAGATGGACACAGGAGAAAAACCACATTTCTGAATTGGAGACCTGCTGGTCATTTGACCACAGAGACCACATCTCTGCAAGGCTCGACCCCTGATTCCTCCAGAAGACCTGCCCTTGACCGTCCCACCTGCTTTGGTTTTCCCTTTCGTCTGACACTGAGAAAGGTGGTGGTCCGCAGAGGCCCTCCTGTGCGCCACTTGTGTGAAATTAAATGCATCCCCCATGTTCGTCATCTATCTCAGTCAGATTTGCACTTTCCTAAGGGCAGAAGCATGTTCCGGGCTGGCCGCTTTGCCAGTCGTCATCAGGACATTGACAGTTTAGTTCTACAGATGCATTTTTGAGAATCTTCTAGGTATCAAGGACAGTGCTAAGCGCTGGAGGATGTAAAGATGGCCGAGGACAGATACTTTTGGGCTGGAAAAGAGGGTTACAACCCATGCGCGTCCAGCTTCTTAGCCTGGGTGGGAGGTTCTGGGTGGGTGGGTTTCGTTGTATTTACACCGTATGTGGAGGCTTCTCTCACTTCCACGGCATCATTCAATGAGAGTAAAGAGGGGCTGGAAATATGTTGGTTGCTGGTAAGACCCTGTAACACTCTCTAGCTGCATCGTATGATGTTCAGCAGCATCCGTGGCCTCTACCCACCAGTAGACAAGATGAGTAGACACAAACTCCACTGTCCATCCTGAGCCTGTTGGCAGGGATCCTGTGTAGCCTTTATCCCTGTCCTGTTTTTCCAAGGAGCCGGGAATCATGGCTCATCCCTTGCCACATTTGGTCTGACCCATCCCCTTGTGAGACCTCACCTCCCCTTCTCCTCACCTCCTGCACATCCCTCCACTGAGCCTTGTGGGACTTAGGGCTCAGCAGACCCGCCAGGTCCTGAGTGTTCCCTGCTCAGACTGAGCTCCAGGGGACTGCAGCCCTCTGAGTGCTTGTCATCCTCTTCCCTGCCTCCATCTGAGCCCAGGCCCACCAGGGACAGGGTCCTCGCCTCTCATGATTGCGTCTCTGCCAGCCTCACTCCCTCTGTAGAGACCCTGCCTTTGGGTCTCAGGCCTCGTCTTTTTTGCTGCTTCTGCAGACCTTCCCTCTCTTCTCGTCACTCTTCCGGCCCTCAGTCTTGGCCATGGCAGCCTTCTTGTGGATGGTCCTGTGCCCCCTCCACCCATCCCACGGCCATCCATGACTATGATGACAGTGACTGCACCACAACCACCATCTCCATCTCCAGCACACCACTCCCCAACCGCCTCCTGCTGTCCCTTCAATTCCCTCTCTGGTGTCCTGATTCCAGCAGTTTCCAGTCTTTCAAGACCTGCAAGCCATCGATCTTGCCGCCTTTTCACTGCCCTCTCTCATTTCCCTCCATGCCCACCATTGTGGTCTCCCTTTGCACACAGCCCCAGTGCCCTTGCCCTTGTTTTGTTCATTGTATCCACCTGGTGAAATCCATCAGTGTTCTGTGCCTGCAGCCAAACAGCTGCACGTGGTGCAGAGAACCAGGTAAGCTGGCTGCTGGTGTCACGTGACATCCACGCCCAGCGACTTCAGTGGGCGCTCTGCCACGCAGTCACACTGTGTTTCCCTAGCCTAGGGGCCGGCCAACTGTGGCTGAGGGCCAAATTTAGCTCATCTGTTTCTGTATGGCCCACAGCTGCGATTGGTTTTATATTTTAACCCCCTTTTTTTAATTAAAGAGAAATACACCACTCACTTGCACAGCTCTCCCCATGCCATCTGCCTGCACCTGTGCCCCCTTCTCTGCCTTCAGTCCTGTGACTGCTAAACTGTCGACTCTCCAGCCAAAGCCCCACTTCCACCTGGTGCTGCATCCCACCCCATGCCAGCTTCTCAAGGGCAACACAGTCAATCCTACCTTGACCTCTACCCCTACAGCCACGGCCTGCTTCTCTGCTCCGCTTCGTGGCAGAGCCCCTTGGGTACATCTGTGCTTGCTGTCTCTTGCCTCTTCCCTCCCACTCTTTTACCCCTTCCGCCAAAACCTCTCCAGCCTCGGTTACCAGGGCCCTCCGTGGTGTTAAATGGTCTGTCTTCTTACTTGGCCTGTTCGTAACACTTGCCATGTTGCTCACTTTCCTCTCACCTGCCACCCACCTTCACTGCTCTTTCTTCGCTGGTTCCTGTTGCCCTGTGGAGCCTCTCAGCCCTAGAGCGCCCTTGGTTCTCACACCCGCTCTCTACTTGCATTTCCTCATTCCCATCGTCTCCCAGGGTCTTGGGGCCACACATACCATCTAGGAATGTGTGCCTCAAACCTGGGTTTTTGCCCCAAATTCCGCACATCTAGCTGCTTGGCCTGTATCTCCACCTCAGTGTCTCATAAACTCCCCCCAAACATTCCCAGCGCTGAGCTCCTGTCTTCTCTGAATAGCCTGCTCCTCCCACATTCTCCCCAACCCAGTAAATGGCCGCTCCATCCTTCCATTTACAGGCAAAACCCCACGAGTCCTCTCTGACCTCCTCCTCCACATCCGCATCCACTCCACCAGAAACCCTACTGGCCCTCCCTGCCAGGTTTGCCCAGAGTCTGTCCACGCCTCATCCCCTCCACTCTGACACCCAGGCTTATCGTCTCTTGCTGAGGTTGTTGCCAGCCCCTGCCCTGATCCCCCAGAGTCTCATCTCAGCCCAGCAGAGTAATCCCTTTTAGACGCAAGTCCTGGCTTTCCATCTGACCCGCACTATTGGCTCACCTCCTCCACTTTTCTCTCACTCTGCCCAGCTGCACCATCCCTGGTGGTGTCCCCTCCACCCTGTGCCAGGACCTTCGCAGTGCCCTCTGCTGGGAGTGCTCCTCAGGCAGGTCCCACCTGCAGGCCTTTCCTGTCATCGGCACTGCAGCCCCTCCCCACCCAGGACTCCGGGCCTACTTTCCTGCTTTCGGTCTTCCGTGTCAGACAGCGTCACATAATATATATATTTCCTATTTATAGATTTCATCGTATGTCAGGTCTACCTCATTAGAATGTCAGTTTCAAAGTACAAAGACTTTTTAACTGTTTTCTTCATATATTCATTCTAGGCACCTGAGATATTGCTGAGCATAGAGTAGGAATTCAGTAACTATTTGCTGAATGTATGCCATGCTTTGTAATTCAAAATGTGTGTGTGTGTATGTGTGTGATGTGTGTGTGCGAAATAATGGATTTTTGATATCATTTAGGTCTCCCAGACCTCTGTAGGGCAGCCGCTTGTCCTGAATTGTCTGTTTATCCTTTCTATCCACATTTTTTTTTTTTTGAGCCGGAGTCTCTCTTTGTCGCCCAGGCTAGAGTGCAGTGGCACGATCTTGGCTCACGGCAACCTCCGCCTCCCAGGTCCAAGCAATCCTCCTGCCTCAGCCTCTGGAGTACCTGAGACTACAGGCGCATGCCACCAAGCCTGGCTAATTTTTTGTATTTTTATTAGAGACAGGGTTTCACCATGTTAGCCAGGATGGTCTTGATCTCGTAACCTCGTGATCCACCTGCCTCGGCCTCCCCAAAGTGCTGGATTACAGGCGTGAGCCACCGTGCTCACCCTCTATCCACATTTTAAAATGTCTACTGTGTGCATTGGTAGTTGTGAACAATATATGGATTTTTGTGTTTTGAAACATTACATAGATGTCATTATATTTATCACTCATTATTCTGTATTTCAGACCTATCCATGTTGATACATGTAGATCAAGTTTATTCCTTTTAACAGATGCTTAATATTCCAGAAGCAACTATATTGTAACTTATTTTCCATTCCTCCACTGATTGGCACTTAAGCTTTTTTTGATTTTTCACACTCACAAGCGATACCGTAGTGATCATTCTTGGGCCTGTCTCTTTTTGTGCCCCTGTGGGGATGCTACTCCAGAAAACAGACCCAGCGGTGGCCTCACCATATCATAGGCTTGCTTGATTTTGTCTCTGCCATTGCCATATTGCTGTCCCCAGAAGTACCCCAGTGCCACCAGGTGCGCCTAGCAGCAGCTAGCTATGAAGAACCTGTTTCTTTATGTCTGCCCAGTTTCTATAATTACATTTCTGCCAACCTGATGGGGAGAGATCCTTGTCTTAATTCAGGATACTGGAGGCCTGAGCTTCAGAGCTCAAATAGCCTTCGTGCCTGGTCCTGGCTCTGCCAGTTGTGCTGAGCTAATGGTTTGGGGCTAGCATGGGGCTGGGTCCCCTCTGTTAAGGTGGTGTCTCCCTTTTAAAGGGAAGGACTAGTAAGTGAGGAGAGGGAAGAAGAGAAGACAGTCAAAAAATGTAGGCCAGGGCCCAAAGTAACCCCACTGTGCAGAGGGTGAAAGTGAAGTGGAGAGAGAGTATGGGATGTAGGTAAGAGAAGATAAAACTAAAGTAGGAGAGAAGGAGAGAGGAAGCTTCCAGCTCTAAACAGGAGTTCTCCAAATTGTTGCCCCACACAGGGACTGAGGAGGAGGCTGCAGGATTCTAGGCAGGAAAGATTTCTAGAAGTCCTCTGATAGGTCCATGGGGAAGGACAGGGTAAGTTCAAAGCCAGATAGAGGTCTGTCTGAAGGAGGTCAGTTGCCAGTGGTTCACTGAAAATGATGAGAAATTACAATGTCTATTAGATCCTTGGGCGTGGGAACATAGGTGAAACAGTGTCAATCAGGAAAGTCTAAACAGTTGAGAGGGCACCTTTTGGGGGCAGAGCATCTGGCTGCATATCTAGTCCCTGGTTCAAGATGGTGTCACTTGTTGGCCCTTCCTTTCACTCTGCCCACGTGTTTGCAGTCACTCCGTCCTGTGTCATGTCTGTGACCACAGATTTCTCTGATTCTCCACTTCTCCACTTTTCCATGGATTGGATCTTGTCTTCTGGTCACTACTTTTATCTGACACATTGTGGGATTCAGCGAATGGAGGAGAAGAGGAAAGAAGAGGAAAGGAAAAGGCAGTTCAACTCCTGCCTCAGAGTGTTCAGTGCAAAGAGGCCCTTTATCATGAATGTGGATTCTAGTCATGACTTGGTCATTAATCAAGTGTGTTTTGTTTGGGCATGATTTTAATTACTGTCATTTTTTCTAGATCTATACCATGGAAGGGAACAGATTAAACCAGTGTTTCCAAACTGTAAGTCAGAATGGTGCAGGGAGTTGGTTAGAAGCACACATGTCCCTAGGTCCTTTCCCAGATAGTGTGGCTTAGGAGTCCTCAAGTGGGGCTCAAGAACTTTTGCTTTTACCCAGCTCTGCCCAGCCCAGCCTCACCTTTAAAGGGTCTGTTGAGCAACCAGTTCTTTTGAGTCCCTCTGTTCTAGGCGAGTCTGAAGGATGTTCTGGCTGCAAACCGCAGTGATTTTAATGTCCCTGCCTTCAGTCACACACTGGAGAAGGAAGGATGCTGGTTGTAAGTAGAGCTGGCAGGCAGGTGTGGAGTAGGAAGGGGGTATATCGTGACGAAGCAAGTACATATCTCATAATGGTGACAGTCAGGGTGTGGCCATACAGGTTTATAGTTCTTATTGGAGACAGGCAATTACATGGGGGTATAGCTCAGGGGTAGAGCATTTGACTGCAAATCAAGAGGTCCCTGATTCAAATCCAGGTGCCCCCTTCCTGTTTTCTTTTGTTGGGGTGATCAGACCCAACACCAGGTCATGGGGGTGACGAAGTCCAGCAGAGTCAAAGGAATGAGAAAAAGACAGTTTGAAAGAGAAAGTGGGACCAGAGGGCCATGGCGAGTCTGGAGGCTGCAAAGGCCCCAAGCATTGGGAGCACACGCTATTTATTGGTGCTCAAACAGGTGGTGAGGATGTGGGGATTGAAAGGAAACAGTGTATCAAGTGAATGAGAAACATTAGCATAGTGGGAGTGCTAGAAGCAAGGAGCCAGCAAGTCTAGCCAGACATGCAAGCCCTGCCTCAGCTTCCCTCCCAACATCTTTTCACTCACTGATCATGATAGGATGTTCTACTCTTAGCTGTTCTTCAACACACATGGATTCATTCTGCAAAGCAGGAGAGAGAGGAAGCAGGTCAGGTCTTCACTAGAAAACCTCGCCTGACACCGGAAGCTCTAGAGAAGACCAGTTTCTTGAAGGCTAAGTCAGTGCTCACAGGTCTGGGGAGAACTCTTTTTTTCTTGCACATCTCAAGCCTCATTTGGGGAATTCACAATTGTGTAAGTCTTGGTGGAAGACAGGATCCTGTCTCTGGTTAAGGAAAAATCGAGGTCAGATGTGTCCTCCCTCTGAATGTTGGTGTGTGAATGAGGGTTCCTCAGAAAAAACAGAACCAATAGGGGCTGTATGTGTGTGTGTGTGTGTGTGCACATAGAGATTTTAAGGAATTGGATCATGCCATTGTGGGAGCTTGCAAGTCTGATGTCTGCAGGGCATGGCAGCAATCTGGAGACGCAGGGAAGAGTTGAGGTTGCAGCTCGAGCCTGAAGACAGCATGGAGGTAAAGTTTCTTTCTTAGAAGACAGCAGACATTTCCTCATAAGGCTTTCATCTGATCGGATGAGGCCCACCCACATTTTGGAGGGTAATCTGCTTTACTCAAAGTCGATAGATTGAATGTTAATCACATCTAAAAGATACTTTCACAGCAGCATCCAGATTGCTATGGACAAACGCCTGGCCACCATGGCCTAGCCAAGTTCACACATTAAAGGAAAAAAAAAAATTTTTTAAGACAAACAGGGTCTCCCTCTGTCACCCAAGCTGGAGTGTCGTGGCGTGGTCGCAACTCACTGCAGTCTCCATCTCCTGGGCTCACAGCCTCCCGAGTAGCTGGGACCACAGGTGTGCATCACCACGCCCAGCTAATTTTTGTATTTTTTGTAGAGATGGGGTTTCGCCATGTTGTCTAGGTTGGTCTCAGTCTTCTGACCTCAAGTGATCCACATGCCTCAGCCTACCAAACTGCTCGAATTATAGGCGTGAGCCACTGTGCGTAGCTGACACATAAAACTAACCAGCACAATTGGTAATGGCTTCAGTTTGGCCAACTATATTCTCCTAAACAAGACTGTGAATGTTGAATAAATCCTGCATAGAGGCAGGGTTAATTTGGAATTCATTCTGGAGATGGCAGAGCTCTGGCAATGGCAGTAGGGCCAGAGGCTGCAGCCAGCGTCTGTTGTGGTGGCAGTGGCTGCTCCCAAGCCAGGGTGGGCTGAGGTCCTGCCTGGTTTTTTTGTTTGTTTGTTTGTTTGTTTGTTTGTTTGTTTTGAGACAGAGTCTCGCTCTCTTGCCCACGATGGAGTGCAGCAGCACAATCTTGGCTCACTGTAACCTCTGCTTCTGGGGTTCAAGCGATGCTCCTGCCTCAGCCTCCCGAGTAGTTGGGACTACAGACACCCACCACCACACCCAGCTAATTTTTCCATTTTTAGTAGAGACGAGGTTTCGCCACCTTGGCCAGGCTGGTCTGAAACACCTGACCTCGTGATCCGCCCTCATCTGCCTCAAAGTGCTGGGATTACAGGCGTGAGCCACCGCACCCAGCCGGTCCTGCCTATTTGACGAGCCTGGCTCTGCAGGCTTCCCTAAGGTGCATGAGCTTCTTGCCATCCTGTGAGCAATTGCCCCCGTGTCTACAGTAACCTTAGATGACGTCTTCTTTAATCAAAGTGCCCTTGCTGGTACCAGGGATGTGTAACAAGTGATTACAGAAACGTGAAGGGAATGTGAATTGGAAATCTGGCCTCATTAAACTTGAAGGTAATGATAATCTAGGTAGTTTATGGGGATAGAAATCCAGAAGCCTATATCAGACTGTAGAAAAGTTGAGTAACTTTTGCCTGCAGTTCCATCAGGACCAATTTGTAGTTCCCAGATTATAAGTGGCCTCTGGGCAGGATGGCTGGTCCTACCAGTTTTAAGGCAAATAGCTCACGTGTCACCCTGTATGATGTGTTCTACATGGACAAAAACACAGGCCTTTTTCTGACTGTATAACAAAACTCTCTGATCTCCTGCCACCGAATAAGTGAAACAGCTGAAAATGAGAGCCAGGGCTGATCCCTGTGGCTTGCCAAACTTTGATGTCCATGGAATTGGCAGCTTCCCCCAGTCTCCCAGCTGAAAATAGGTCAGTGATTAAGAGGGTAGAACTTCAGGGTAGAACTTCAGGAATTGTAAGATGGATTGATGGGAGCATTTGGAAAACTTGATTTATCCCAAATCACCAACCCTACCTAATCTCCAAGCCTGCCGCTTCTTCCTGCCTGAAAGCCGACCAGCCCAGATGGAAGGGTTTTCACTGCAAGAGATTGGGTTCCCCACCCTCATGGTCTCTTGACCTACAGTGAGAGTAAGATCTCAGTTGAGCCTGGGCACCAGTTGCTGGGAGGCAAAGACTCAGATACCAAAATCATTTTCAACTGGCTAATGTATGTCAGCAAAAACTTCAAGACCATGTGTGGATACAGATTGTTGGAGTACTTCATAAAGTAGAAAGACTGTAATTTTAAATGAGCCTGAATTTTTTATTAGGAGTGTACCCAGTTAAAATTCTATTTAAGATACCATAGCTAGAGCAGCTGGGATAAAACTGTTTGCTCCATTGGTGGATCTAACCCTGGATTCACAGGAGGCCAATTCTAAATGCATTTGAGATACTAGGAATTTCTTGCTATAATGTAGAAAGAATCCATACGCTTCAGGGGGTAGGTAAGTTAGAGTGGATTTATCACGTGTGACTTAACCTGGCTTGAAAAATACGTAGGTGTGTGGAGCTTCTACATTCGTAAAAAGAGTTCTGGTAGCTGTTGTCTGTG